>NC_000012.12:68672249-68823764 GCF_000001405.40 Homo sapiens | reverse complement strand
TGTCCAAGAAATGAAACTGATTTCTAGCTCACAGAAAATATTACATCCAGAGAGCAATAATGAACCCCTAAATGGTAATTTTAAGCAGAAGAGTGACAAATCACTCTAGCAAAACATAAGAAAAAGAGGGCAGAGGCAGGAAAACCAGTATTAGACAATTGCAATAATACAAACTAAAAACTATTAAAGCCTAAACTAAGGCATGGAAAACAAATTCCAGAGAAATTAAATAGGTAAAAACCAACAAGACCTGGTATTTGATATAGAAGGCAAGGAAGAAAGGAGTTAAGATGATTCCAAGATTCCAACTTGGGTGAATAAATGAGTGGTACCATTCACTAAAAGAGAAACTTTAGAAAGATAAACAGATTGGATGGGAAGATAACAAACTGAGTTATTCAGGCACATAGGTTTCATTTGTAGTTGGATATACAGACTTTGAGCTCAAAAGTCAAAGTTTCAGAGTTGGGATATACAGACAATTATCATCAAATACCCTTTACTACCCCCCTTGGAAACATTTTCATCTTAACAGTGAACTCATGCCTGGACATTAACATTTTGAAATTATGCATTATCATAGATTAATTTTCTCTTTATACTATGGGTAAGGCATTACACTAATTTTCTTAAGTTGTACATAATAGGTTATATTGTCCAGGAATTTTGGATTAGTATAAACAGATGCTACAAAAAAGATGTAATAAAAAGGAAGCCCTAGGCTGGGTGGGTGCAGTGGCTCACACTTGTAATCCCAGCACTTTGGGAGGCCAAGGTGGGAGGATCACCTGAGGTCAGGAGTTTGAGACCAGCCTGGTCAACATGGTGAAACCCTTTCTCTACTAAAAATACAAAAATTAACCGGACGTGGTGGCAGGCACCTGTAATCCCACCTACTCGGGAGGCTGAGGAAGGAGAATCACTTAAACCCGGGAAGCAGAGGTTGCAGTGATCCGAGATCGCACCACTGCACTCCAGCCTGGGTGACAGAGTGAGACTCCATCTCAAAAAAAAAAAAGTGACAAAGTTGAGAACATGGAATAGGAGTTCTGAAGTTAATTCTACTGATATCTAAACCAAACTCAGACTGCAAATAAGTAATTTGTAAGTTTCCATCTCAATAATACAATTTTTCTAGTAATGTGCCAAAGTTTATTTAAACAAATGAAGGAATGAATACATCAGGGTTACATACTTCAGAAAACTCAAACTACTACTACAAATACTACAATTGTATATTTAGCTATCACACAATTTCTTAAAGAGCTTTAAAACAACAGGTATACATATGTAACCAACCTGCACATTGTACACATGTACCCTAAAACTTAAAGTATAATAATTAAAAAAAAAGGAAATAAAAAGGATACAATCTAAAGCTCAAAAAAAAAAAGAGCTTTAAAACAATAAAATGCCAAATCATCAGCCTAATAACTACTTTTATTTTGGGATAAAATGGAGATACTTTTCTGGGCTTTAAATCCTAACTTTGGAAGAATAAGTATTCAATTCAACACATTTATTAAATACCATATTAATAAAACACTATAGTGTGTGATGCACAATGCAAACCTGAATAGGACACAGGTAACAAAAATATAAACAAGTGCAACAGCCAGACGCAGTGGCTCATGCCTGTAACCCCTAAACTTTGGGAGGCCGAGGTGAGAATATCTCTTGAGCTCAGGTCAAGACTAGCCTGGGCAACATAGCAACACCGTCTCTACCAAACATACAGAAAAATTAGCCAGGCGTGGTGGAGCACATCTGTAGTCCCAGCAACTTGGGAGGCTGAGGGGGAGGATCATTTGAGCCCTGGAGGTGGAGGATGCAGTGAGCCAAGATTACCACTGCACTTCAAGCAGGGTGACAGAGTGAGAGCCCATCTCAAAAACAAACAAAAAAACCCACAAGTAAAACAAAGCAATTTTACAATAAAATCTGAATATGGAATAGAGGAAGTACAAGGGAGTGGTCAATTCATTCTAGGAACTAAACAAGCTCCTGAGAGGTGTTTTTTTGTTTTGTTTTGTTTTTGTCTTTTTTAAGAGATGAGGTCTTGCTCTGTCACCTGGACTGGATGGCATGATCACAGTTCACTACAGTCCTGACCTCCCAGCCTCAAAAAATCCTCCTGCCTCAGCCTCCTGAGTAGCTAGGACTACAGGCATGCACCACTATACCAAGCTGATTTTTGTAGTTTTTGCAGAGTTAGGATTTTGCCATGCTGCCCAGGCTGGTCTTGAACTCCTCGGCTCAAGTGATCCTCCTGCCTTAGCCTCCTAAAGTGCTGGAATTATAGGCATGAGCCATCACACCTGGCCTAAGAGCATTTCTTAACTGTAGTTCGAGGATGGGCTTTAGGAGCAGTGTAGTGTATTAGAGACAGCTCTAAGCAGCACTCAAAAGCAAACTGTGAGACCGGGTGCAGTGGCTCATACCTGTAATCCCAGGACTTTGGAAGGCCGAGGCAGGCAGATCACAAGGTCAGGAGTTCGAGACCAGCCTGGCCAACATGCTGAAACCCCCTCTCTACTAAAAATACAAAAATTAGCCGGGCGTGGTGGCATACGCCTGTAGTCCCATCTACTCGGGAGGCTGAGGCAGAAGAATTGCTTGAACCTGGGAGGCGGAGGTTGCAGTGAGTCGAAATCATGCCACTACACTCCAGCCTGAGTGACAGAGCAAGATTCCTTCTCAAAAAAAAAAAAAAAAAAAAAGCAAACTGTGTACATCTCTTCCCAACTCCATGTTTTTAGCCTTCAAATGAGAGTATTATACTATGGAAGTCAGCAAGCACATAAATCAGGGCTTTTCTCATGGAAAGTAGGTTGTAAAACACTTATTGACTTACCCATGTATATATACATGTGCATCTTTCTGGAACAAGAACCCAATGCTTTTATCAGCTTATTAAAGAGAGATGTGACCCAAAAATAACCAGTTAAGAAACGGAAGTAGGAACATAAAATTCCACTTCCACAAATTGGTAAACAAAATTTTGTCTATAACCAAAGAAAAAGACTCATCCTTCATCCTTACACATGGTCCTACCTAGGTAACAATATTATTTCCCAAAGCCTTTCAATACATTTTCAAGGTAGATCACTCCTAAACAGGAGCTTTTGAAATTACAGACCTTTCAAAATAAATCCTAACTCTGATATCCCAAGTCTAAATTGATCTAACAGGATATTTAACTTTACATTAGAACCTCAGTATGTGGTTTTAGTTCATATGTACTTCTAATAAATTTATCATACTTTTATTACAATATTTAATTAAAGCAACTTTTAAAGAGAATCACAATTATAAAACATATGCACATAAACAAAAATGTCTTTAAAACGTTTTTATGGTATTTATCCATGATGCTCAAAATTAACTTACCCTGCTGATTGACTACTACCAAGTTCCTGTAGATCATGGTATATATTTTCCTTGTAGACAGAAAAAAAAAAAATAACAAGAGATGTACATTTTAGAATAAAAATTTGTATTAAGCTGGATCTAACCAGACTTCTACATACATACTTAGTATGAACTACTGCACACATTCAAAACCAAATTTATCATTGGCAAGCTTGTAGGCACTTAAAAGCACAATAATTAGTAGCACAATGATTATGTACAGCTACTTTTAATAATTACTAAAGTCTCTCTAGCTGAAAGATTTCACACTACCAATTCCTGAAATGTGCTTTGTTTGGACTTTACCAGAAGACCCCCAAAAAATGAGTATGCAAGCAGGAAGAGGTTGAACATACTTATTTTCAAACAGGAATGTTTTTAGCTCTGTGCTTAGTAGCAAACTGCCAAAAAAAAGCATTGAGTTATGCAAAATCCATTAAATACAAACTGCCAAAAAAACTATTGAGTTACGCAAAATCCATTAAATAGGAATTTGATTATAATCTTGACTTTCATCAAGCTTCAACTTCCTTTCTTGATCTTAAAACGTATTAACAGAGGCCGGGCGCAGTGGCTCACAGACACCTGTAATCCCAGCACTTCGGAAGGCCGAGTCCGGCAGATCACCCGAGGCCTGGAGCTCAAGACCAGCCTGACCAACATGGAGAAACCCCATCTCTACTAAAAATATAAAATTAGCTGGGCATGGTGGCGCATGCCTGTAATCCCAGCTACTCAGGAGACTGAGGCGGGATAATCACTTAAACCCGGGAGGCAGAGGTTGCGGTGAGCCAAGATCACGCCATTGCACTCCAGCCTGGGCAACAAGAGCAAAACTCCGACTCAGGGAAGAAAAAAAAGAAACTTATTAACAGATAAAGCAGTACTCATTCATTCAATAAATACAGACTGAAAACCTACCACGTACCAGTCACTGGTACTATGTACCAGACACGGGGGAAAACAAAGAATGAAACAGAAATGTATATGCCCTCATGAAGTTTATATCCTAACAGGAGGATAATTCATTTACCCCAGTATTCGTTGATGTCACAATGGATTTTTCCTTTTGTTTTTAAACTAAGGATTTAAGAGAGTGTTTGTCACAAAATATTGTTTCTCACTCAATATTAAGAGGAAATATGAATCCCAACTATCTTTTTTCATCCTTGGGAATAAGGATACAGCAACCTAAACCCACAATATTTTTAATTCATATCCTTTTCAAGTCAGTAATTTCTCCTATTTCTTATCTCTCAACATTTAGAATTCAAGTCCAAGGAAATCATACTTCCAAACATTATCCGAAGATTCAATATTCAGACCAGGCACAGTGGCTCACGTCTGTAATCCCAGCACTTTGGGAGGCCAAGACAGGCAGATCACTTGAAGTCAGGAGTTCGAGACCAGCCTGGCCAACATGGCAAAACCCCATCTCTACTAAAAATACAAAAAATTAGCTGCTCATAGTAGTGTGCACCTGTAATCCCAGCTACTCAGGAGGCTGAGGCAAGAGAATCGCTTGAACCCAGGAGGCAGAGGTTGCAGCCTGGGCAACAGAGCAAGACTTCATCTCAAAAAAAAAAGAAAAAAAATAGAAGATTCAATATTCAATAGGTAAAGAAATCACCAATATACCAATATAGTTATTTTTAAAATTTATAAAATTAAACCATATATACCAAGGCCACGTATAAAATGACAACATATATGGATATTAAACAGAAGTGACTCATCAATAAAAAATAATAATTATACATATATTTGTAATATATATAATTATATTATATGTATATTATAATATATAATATACAAATTATAATACAAATTAAGAAGCTAGATGAAATTTAAATATAGTACTATATTCATAACTAGGTTAAAACACACAGTTGCACATAATACACAAATGACTGGTAAAAATACCTTTTGTTAACAAACTACAGTCCTTTTTTTTCCTTTACTTTTCTTAGTTTTCTGTCATCTCCTAATGTTCAATAATAATATATACTATGTTTACAATAATAAGGTTGTTTTAAAGTTATAAAATCCCTTGCTCAGCTGAGGAAGTTATGTTTTTTAATAAAATAAAATCCCATTTAATTATCATCTTTTCAGCTATACTATTGAGCATTAAATACTAGCAGAAGCTAGTTAATTGTCTCAGGTGAACGTATTCATTCCATTTATTAATGTAATGAATGCTAAGGCTCAACACGGATTGCCTGTGCTAAACCAAATGTGACAAAGAATTCCAAATGTAGGCCGGGTGTGGTTGCTCACATCTGTAATCCCAGCACTTTGGGAGGCCATGGCAGGTGGATTACCGAAGGTTAGGAGCTCAAGACCAGCCTGGTCAACATCGTGAAACCCTGTCTCTACTAAAAATACAAAAATTAGGCATGGCAGCAGGCACCTGTAATCCCAGCTACTCGGGAAGCCGAGGCAGGAGAATCACTTGAACCCAGGAGACGGAGGTTGCAGTGAGCCAAGATCATGCCACTGCACTCCAGCCTGGGCCATAGAGCAAGACTCCCTCTCAAAACAAACAAACAAAAAAAAGAATAATTTTAGAAAAATATATATTAAAAAAATTTTTTTTTCAGATGCAGTTTTGCTCGTTGCCCAGGCTGGAGTGCAGTGGCGCAATCTCGGCTCACCTCAACCACAACCTCCACCTGCCTGGTTCAAGTGATTCTACTGCCTCAGCCTCCCGAGTAGCTGGAATTACAGGCATGCACCACCACACCCAGCTAATTTTGTATTTTTAGTAGAGACAGGGTTTCTCCATGTTGGTCAGGCTGGTCTCCAACTCCCAACCTCAGGTGATCCACCCGCCTTGGCCTCTCAAAGTGCTGGGATTACAGGTGTGAGCCACCGCACCAGGCCTATTTCTAGAAATATTACCTGGGTTAAATTCTGCTGGTTAAGTGCCATAATGATAGGTGACAATGAAAATGATCTCCAAAATAACTAAGGCTCAAATGTAAGCCTTTACCACGTGGTGGTATACTGTTTCTGGAATAAAAAGTTATAATAGCTACAGCTAATACTTGAATGCTTTGTATGTGCCCAAAACTATGCTTTTTTATACAACGTCTCTCTTCAAGAGCTTTAACCTCCACATGAAGTATTTAATTATCCCTATTTTATAAATGGGGAAGCAGGTTTAAAAAGGTTAATTTATCTAGTCACAAAACTAGTAAATGATTGGGCTAGGTTTCAAACACTGGTTTATAAGATGCCAGAGCTCAGGTTCTCAAATAATATGCCGCAGAGCTAAAAAATTAAGTTTCAGCATGTCTTTAATATGTTTCAACAGTTTTTCTCTGACAAAAGTGAATGAGGGTAGAGGTGAACTGAAATGTTAGCCCAGATGGCTTTTTACAATGGACTAAACTGAAGAATTACCTGTGCTCTTTCACAGAGAAGCTTGGCACGCCAAACAAATCTCCTAGAAGATCATTTGAACAATATACAATATGTTGTTGCTTCTCATCATATAATCGTTTAGTCATAATATACTGGCCAAGATAAAAAAGAACCTGAAATACAAATATGATTTCTGAGCATTAAAGAAAACTAAATGTTAGTTGTAAATACATTTAATAATATCCTATTTATCTGAATAGGGGTAAACAACCAGGAACCATATCCACAACTATGTAGAACAACCATTTTGTACTTAGAAGCTACTTTTGGCTGGGCGCAGTGGCTCACACCTGTAATCCCAGTACTTCGGGAGGCCGAAGCGGATGGATCACGAGGTCAGGAGATAAAGACCATCCTGGTCCCATCTCTACTAAAAATACAAAAGTTAGCCAGGCATGGTGGCAGACACCTGTAATCCCAGCTATTAGGGAGGCTGAGGCAGGAGAATTGCTTGAACCCAGGAGGTGGAGGCTGCAGTGAGCCGAGATTGCGCCACTGCACTCCGGCTTAAGCAACAGAGTGAGACTTCATCTCAAAAAAAAAAAAAAAAAAAAAAAAAAAAGCTACTTTTAAGCCTTTTCCATTTAATTTGACAGAAGCAGAAATAACTGCTTCTCTATTTACTTAAGCAAACCTTAAAATGTGAGGTTTTTTTCCTTGTAGACTTTAACTCTGCCCAGATACTTAGATACTAACATATTAGGAAGGGAAAAGGCAGCAAAATAAAAAACTGATAGCCAAAAAAGTTGCAGAAACAAAAATCAACTAAAATATGGCAGTGGTCTGGAGCCACTTAGTAAATAGTCATAAATACTATAAACCTCAATAGCCTCTGAGGTCACCAGAGGAGGAAGACAGAAAAACAATCAATCAATGACAGCTACAAAACAGTTTGAGAGAATTCTGAGAATGAAATAAACCCTCTAAGGTATCAATTTACTCCATATTATGATAAATAATCAAAATAATGACTTTGAACCATTAATAAAAGTTAAATTATATTCCCTGTGCTGCATTAAGACAAGAAGTTGGCAATACATTTTTAAGATATCCAGATATAAACCTATTAACAACTACCTAAATACATATGGCATTTTACAGTTTACAATGTACTTTTATAAGTATTATCTCATTCTGATATTTCATAAGATTATTATCACTGTATTAGAAATGAAGAAATTGCGTTGGGCACAGTGGCTCACACCTGTAAATCTAGCACTTTAGGAGGCCGAGGTAAGCAGATCCCTTGAGCCCAGGAGTTCCAGACCAGCCTGGGCAACATAGTGAAACTCCATCTCTACAAAAAAATACAAAAATTAGCCAGGCATAGTGGTACAAGCCTGTAGTCCTAGCTACTGCAGACACTGAGGTGGGAGGATCACCTGAGCCCACGAGGTCCAGGCTGCAGCGAGCAGTGATCATGCCACTGCACTCCAGCCTGGGCAAGAGAGTGAGAAACTGTCACATAAAAAAAAAAAAAAAAAAAAAAAAGAAGAAGAAACTGGCCCCAGCTCTTCTGACTCTTAATCCAACGCTCTTTTTACTACCCATACTAGCTTTCACTACCTTCCTGTGTGCCCCAGAACAAAGATCCTATAACTGAGAACTATATCAGACAATACATACACTACTGTTACATAGTTTAGCATAAGCATTCTAAGTCTTTATGATGGCCTTGGCCAATTTTCTCATTTCTATCTACTGCTAAATCCATACTTTTTTGTTTCCTTAACTGATTATCCAATGATAATAAGGTCAATCCCAAATTAGCCTTAAAAATACCATTTAACCTGGCCCTTTCCTACAAACACTGTCTTTGGATTTAACTGGCTAAGCAGGCATCGGCCTTAAAGGAATATTCTTATGTGACTGTGGATTGGACAGATTGCTGTCCAGCAGTGGGAAAGGAAAAAGGAAGAGAACTTAGATTTATTCTACCAAACATCCTTTAAGGAAGTTTCTAAAAGTATAGCTGGAGAGGAAAAAGAAAAATGGAAGCTCTTCCTGCCCCACTATACCGTTGTAAGAAAGAAACTTAAATGTTTTAAGTAATCTGAGTCCCATAAACTAAGTGGGAGAGACAGAGAACAGGCATATTTCAATCACACTGAAATTCTGCCTAAGGTTGCTCAATCTGTCACTGAAAATCATGCTTCTGTGCACAAATTTAAAGGTGGGGAATGCATTAAAATGCTGGAACCATTAGATAGAATATATGGTCATGAATCAGCTCACCTCTATCCCAGAAAGATCAGTATACTGTACTCATGTATCTCTAGTGCAGAAGTTCTTAACCTGGGATCCAGGGATGCCCAAGAAGTCCTTGGATAGAATTCAGGGGGTCCATTAATTTGGATGGGAAAAAAAAAATTCTATTCTTATTTTCACAAACTTCTAACTAGAATTTAGCTTTTCCTTCGATTATAAATGTAGGCAACAAATCACAACAGTATTAATACCTGTGATTTCATCACCAACAAAAATCAGAGGTGTTTTCCTATCATACTGTACTTATGGCAAACATTTCAAAATATGACTTATATTCCTCACTATATCAAGATAATATTTATTGGCCAGGCATGGTGGCTCATGCCTATAATCCCAGCATTTTGGGAGGCCAAGGCAAGTGGATCACCTGAGACTAGGAGTTCAAGACCAGCCTGGCCAACATGGAGAAACCCCATCTCTACTAAAAAGACAAAAAATTAGCCAGGCGTGGTGGCAGGTGCCTATAATCCCAGCTACTTGGAAGGGTAAGGCAGAAGAAGGGCTTGAATCTAGGAGGCGGAGGTTGCAGTGAGCTGAGATCGTGCCACTGCACTCCAGCTTGGGTGACAGAGCGAGACTTCGTCTCAAAAAACAAAAAAACATTATATTTATTATATCTTCTTCTAAATCTTAGTATTTATTATGTTAATAACAAAAGCACACATATCACAAACTAGTTTACTATTTTGGTAACCGTATTTTAGTATGTTTCCTTTGTAATTCTATACATTTTATTTCATACATTTAAAAACATGATTCTGGGAAGGAGTCTACCAAAGGGTTGACAGCATAAAATGGTCAAGCACCCTTACGGGGCTTCCATTTATCTGAGTTCCTAGCTGAGAAATGAAACTCGAGTATAATTAGAATTTTCAGCTTTAAAATATAGTCCAAACGACCACAAAATTAAATGTTGCTGCTTAATGAAAAATCCTTCTATATGGCCAATTTCTCCACATGGTCTTGAAAACTTTAAGTATGGCTACATGTAACTAGTGAGATACTACTTATCTCTTGATTCAGCTTACCTCTTTCATAGTATAAGTGTCTTTTTGTGCACCAACAGACTTTAATAACTTCAAAAGCAATGGCTTTGGTCTAACCTATAAAGAGAAAAGAACTGCTATTATACTTCCAAAATTATCCCAGAACTATAGGCCCTGCAGCAAACATATCCATCAAGTTCAATAAAGGGGATTTGGAAAAAATGCTGGGGAGGATCTAATCATTATGCAAGTATCATGGAATCATCAAGTATCAGTTGTGATCACAGACAGTATCCAATCCAAAAGAGCAAAGATTACTTTTTCCTTCAGCTATTTATATTACCTGCTTACTGCCTTACAAACAACCATAAATTACTGAGATCCAATGAGCTTACCGTACTGATCCAACGAGCTTATTGCAAGCTAACTTAGAGAATCAAAGAGAAATGAATAAATCTTTAGAGTGGGTCCTGTTATCAATCTTCTCTTTCTAAAGATTAGGTTCCTGAAGGCTAGAGAACCTAACTAACTAACCCAAGCTGACAAGGGTAATTAAGAACAGATCAGAGATAACAACCCAGGTCCCTCAACTACAACTCAGCATTTTCTTCCTACTATATCATGCTGCCTCTTAGTTAGTCTACATTTCAAATATCTACTTGACAAACATTTATTGAGCTTCTACTATGCACTGGACAGTGGTAGGTACTGCAAAAGAAATTACAAATAAGACATATGACCTGTATGCAAGGAGCCTGCCAACTAGATTAGGGGTCAATTTTTTTCTGTAAAGAGCCAGACTGTAAGTATTTTAAGCTTTTCATACAAATGGTTCTATCCAAGTAAAAAGCATGGCTACTATGTAAACCAACGGGCATGGTTGCATTCCAGTAAAATTTTCCTTACAGAAAGAAAGGCAGCTGGCTGGGAGAGGTGGCTCTTGCCTATAACCCCAGCACTTTGGGAGACAGTGCTAGAGGTTTGCTTGAGGCTAGGTGTTCAAGACCAGCCTGGGCCACACTGAGAGACTCCACCTCTACAAAAAAAATTTAAAAACTAAAACAAAAACAGGTAACAGGCCAAAGTTGGCTGACAGGCTAACATTTGCCTGCCCCTTATCTAGAGGTTTTACAAATGGTCTTGAGAAAAATAATTGTCATGGGGGAGGGGAATGTAATATACTATGCACTTTCTCCCTTCCTTTTGGTTTATCAAAATCTGCAAAACTCAAGTATCTTTACAGCTTGCCACTACCACACAAACTGGTACCTCTGCACCTCTCTTTAATATGCCCCGGTCCTCTGTCTAACTTTAAAATCTGACAGCACCCCCATTGGGGATGCCTTAAAAACAGATTTTTAAAAATTGCCTATTTCCAGCTAATCAATAAAACAAATATTATTTAACAATTGAAAAATTTAAAATACATATAGAATTGAATTATTAATTTTTCTGATCACTTTTTTTTTTTTTAACTGTGCTTACATATGCACTTTACTTTCAGGCTAAAGAATGGACTCTCTCAAAAAAGATTTAAAAATAACCTTTTTTCTCCTGAATTTTTATTATATGCTATATTAGCTTCAAATTAGATAAAATAATTCAAAGTAAAAATCTGTAATGGAAGCCAGGTGCAGTGGCTCAGGTCTGTAATCCCAGCACTTTGGGAGGCCGAGGCAGGCAGATCACCTGAGGTCAGGAGTGTGAGACCAGCCTGGCCAACACAGTGAAACTCCGTCTCTATTAAATATACAAAAATTACCCAGGTGTGGGCCAGGCGCAGTGGCTCATGCCTTTAATCCCAGCACTTTGGGAGGCCAAGACAGGCAGATCAGGAGGTCAGAAGTTCAAGACCAGCCTGGACAACATGGTGAAACCCTATCTCTACTAAAAGTACAAAAATTATCCGGGTGTGGAGGTGGGTGCCTGTAATCCCAGCTACTCGGGAGGCTGCGGCAGAATTGCTTGAACCCAGGAAGCAGAGGTTGCAGTGAGCCGAGATCATGCCACTGCACTCCAGCCTGGGCAACAGACCAAGACTCAGTCTCAAAAAAAAAAAAAAAAAAAAATCTGTAATGGAAAGCCATCAGTATATTAGTGACTTAAAAGACATGTATTAATGAGAAAACAGCTATAAAAGATAATAGCATTTGTAATCTTACATTGAAGAACAAGAAGGTAAATTACAGGTGAAGATCTAAATATTTAAAAAATTTAAATCTAGAAGAAAATATAGGAATATATTTGCAAGATCTTGGGACAGGAGAGTTCTTCCAAAGCATGATATGAAATTCAAAAGCCAACAAATTTTACTTCACAGAATTGTTCTCAATGGGGAAAAGACAACATAAAATTAAATGCTACATTAGTAAACAACAAAAGTTAAATATACTTGAAACACATAGAGCTACTCCAATTACTAAGAAAAATTTTAAAAAACTAAAAGGAAAATGGACAGATAAGACTAGGCAAGTCCCAGAAGAAATAAATGACTTAACAAAATGGAGGCCTGGTGCAGTGATTCACGCCTGTAATCCCAGCACTTTGGGAGGCCGAGGCAGGCAGATCACCTGAAGTTGGGAGTTCAAGACCAGCCTGACCAACATGGAAAAACCCCATCTCTACTAAAAATACAAAATTAGCTGAGCGTGGTGGCGCATGCCTGTAATCCCAGCTACTCCAGAGGCTGAGGCAAGAGAATCGCTTGAACCCGTGAGGCAGAGGTTGCAATGAGACAAGATCTCGCCATTGCACTCCAGCCTGGGCAACAGGAGTGAAACTCTGTCTCAAAAAAAACAAAAACAAAAACAAAAAGGAAAGGTGCCCAGCCTCACCAAGAAACTAGAGAAAAATGAATTTAAACAATGGTACAGTACCTTTTATCAAAAAAATAGTAATAATAATAAAAGAGGCCAGGCGCAGTGACTCACGCCTGTAATCCCAGCACTTTGGGAGGCCGAGGCGGGCGGATCACCAGGTCAGGGGATCAAGATCATCCTGGCTAACATGGTGAAACCCCGTCTCTACTAAAAATACAAAAAATTAGCCGGGCGTGGTGGTGGGCGCCTGTAGTCCCAGCTACTCGGGAGGCTGAGGCAGGGGAATGGCGTGAACCCGGGGAACGGAGATTGCAGTGAGCCGAGATTGTGCCACTGCACTCCAGCCTGGGAGACAGAGCAAGACTCCGCCTCAAAAAAAATAATAATAATAATAATTAAAGATTGGTGATATTCAGTATTGGCAGGAGTGAAACTGTTAGAGCCTTTTGGTGAGCAAGTTACCAGTAGCAATCAAATAGTAAAATTGAGAACTCAGGAGTTCTAATTCTCTAAAATCTTTTTCTTTTCTTTTTTTTTTTTTTAGACGGAGTTTCGCTCTTATCGCCCAGGCTGGAGTGAAATGGCGCAATCTTGGCTCACCGCAACCTCTGCCTCCTGGGTTCAAGCGATTCTCCTGCCCCAGCCTCCTCAGCAGGGGATTATAGGCGCGCGCCACCATGCCCGACTAATTTTTGTATTTTTAGTAGAGACAGGTTTTCACCATGTTGGCCAGGCTAGTCTTGAACTCCTCATCTCAGGTGATCGGTCCGCCTTGGCCTCCCAAAGTGATGGGATTACAGGGGTGAGCCACCGAGGCCAGCCTATAATTCTATAAAATCTTTCTTACAGAAATAGTCACACGGGATGCATGTACAAAGCGGCACTATCTGTAATACTCAAAAACAGGAGGCAATTTTTAAAAACCTATCAGTAAAGGCATAAATAATTTTTAAAATGGTATACTCATGCTGTGGAATACTATGCAGCCATTAAAAAGAATTCTGTAGACTTTATTTATTGACAAGGATGCAAGTCACAGAACAACTACAGTTTCATCTTGTTAGTACAACAAACAGGACAATAACATAGATTTAAATTCAAATGTAAATATATGTGGGTACGCACACAAAAAATCTAAAAGGAAACATGGAGCAAAAAGCCTGGAATTTTCAGGTTTTACTTTAAAATTTCTCTAATGACAAAAATCTTTAAAACAAGCACGAATAACTTTTTTGACTTTTAGAAACCATTTTTAAAAATTAAATACTGGGAGGTCAAAAAGGAAAAAAAAATCAGTCACGTAACAAACGTAACTTCAACCACGCTTAACAATGTAATGGAACTAATTTTTAAAGCAAATGTGGCAAATGGCTAAAAAAATACTGACCAGTTCTTAACAGTTTTTAACTCCACGCAGTTACGCCAGAGGTAGCACACTTTAAGCTATGCACATACAATTTTATTTACAGAGCCATGCTACAATTGAGGTATACGAAATTTAGTTTATCACTTCATAAAATAAATTATTCTTAAAAGTTACACGAGACAAAAATACTAACCAGGGTCTCTTGTTCCGAAGCTGGAATCTGTGAGGTGGTTACAGCACCATCAGTAGGTACAGACATGTTGGTATTGCACATTTGCCTACAAGGAAAAAAAAGACACGATGAAAACTGGAAATCATGAAACATCTGTGGAAAATACATCATATATAAAGAACATAAACAACAGTTAAAACTAAAGCTACAAGCAAGTCGGTGCTTACCTGGATCAGCAGAGAAAAAGTGGCGTGCGTCCGTGCCCACAGGTCTACCCTCCAATCGCCACTGAACACAGCTGGGAAAATGCATGGTTTAAATAGCCCCAGCTGGAGACAAGTCAGGACTTAACTCCTTTTACTGCAGTTTCGGAACGTGTCTGAACTTGACCAGCTCAAGAGGAAAAGCTGAGTCAACCTGCCCACTGAACCGGCCCAATCCCGCCCAGACTACGCGCAGCGTTCACACTAGTGACCCGACAGGCACCTGCGATCATCCGGACCTCCCGCGCCGAAGCGGCCCCGCAGCCCCCGGCCCCCGTGACCTTTACCCTGAACTCCCGCGGAGACCTCCGAACCACCCCCACCCCCACCGCCGCGAGAGCCGTCCGAAATCCCGCCCTCCTCCCTGGCGGCGACTGCCTAGCCCCAGTCCAACAAAACCTCCGCAAAGCCACGTGCCCCATGCCCCGCGCCCCGCGCCCCGAGCCCCCAGCCACGAACCGCACAAAGGCTGCGAACGGGCAGAGGCTGGGAACCAGCGATAGAGGGGACACCGTCAGAGCCCAGACCCAAAAGTGACCGCTCGCTGCCGGGCCAGTACCTGCTCCTCACCATCCGGGGTTTTCGCGCTTGGAGTCGGGGGTCCCTCAAGACTCCCCAGTTTCCTTCACGGGGCGCGCGGAAGCACGACGCCCTGGGCCTCGGGGATCATTCCACTCTCCGGGCCAGGGCACTGGGCGCTCGTACGCACTAATCCGGGGAGGGACGGTGCTCCTGGCTGCGAAAGCAGCAGGATCTCGGTCAGAGGGGTCGCGGCCGCCCCTCGGGCTCGGCTTCTTGCTCCATCTTTCCGACACACAGGGCCACACAGGCCCCAGAAGCAGCCAAGCTCGCCGCGGTGCCTCGGTGCGCGCCCCCTACCGCCCGAGGGGAGCGCGCGGGTCGTCGCGGCGCATCCGGGCATTTGTGCGCGCGCACACAACCGGCCCCGCTTCCGCCAATTGGGTCCGGGGCTCGGCCGCACCACCTCCGGGATGATGGAGTGGGGGGTGTCGCCCCGCGGGCGCGGCGGGCTGTGAGGCGGGGTGGGGGTGTTGGCCGCGAGCTGAGAGGGTGGGGCTCGGCCTGGCGCGGAGCCAGCAAGGTTTGGCGCTGTGACACTCCTTTAGCCGTTGCGCTATGTTTGTATTTCTTGTGTTTACACTTCCCGCCCGCGGTGGAAACTGCGACAAATGCGGATCTCCGTGTCGCTGTTACCAAAAAGAAACCAAAATTAACAGCTGTTTAATATATTAAGCCCACTCCACCAGCCGCTGGAGTTGTACCCAAATGAGTTATTTTAAGGCCTGTTTTTAAAAAAGATTAAAAATAGCACTTAAGGCAGGCTTATACACCGGTGCATACAGCTGTTCTGGTTGGAGAACGAAGATGCTGGTTACCGTTGGCGGGGAGGGGAGCGGTTACTCTGCGCTTTTAGAATGTTTGGGTTTGGCTGGGCGCGGTGGCTCACGCTTGTAATCCCATCACTTTGGGTAGGCCGAGGCGGGTGGATCACTTGAGGTCAGGAGTTCAAGACCAACCTGGCCAACATGGGAAACGCCGTCTCTACTAAAAACTACAAAAATTAGTCGGGCGTGGTGGCGGTCACCTGTAATCCCAGCTACTCTACTCCGGAGGCTGAGGCAGGACAATCCTGTGAACCCGGGAGGCAGAGGCTGCAGTGAGCCAAGATCATGCCATTGCACTCCAGCCTGGGCGACAGGGCAAGACTCTCAAAAAAACAAAAACAAAGTTTGGGTTTGTTAATCTACACATTCATTATCATTAAAATATATACTTATATATTATGCACTCATTCTGACTCACCTACTTTCCCACAGAGATGTGGCAAAAACGTTTTTGATGCGGTCTCATAAATTGAGGACATAAAGAATTGAGTTAGCTAAACCCAAAAACACAGCCATTGCAAAGAAGGAACACGTTTCTTCTCTGGCCAGTAAGTGATTAGCTCCTTGTGAACAAGGACCTTTTTTTATAAAGTTATATCCTTCCCTTCTGCAGCTTTTTTTTTTTTATAAAGTTATATCCTTCCCTTCTCCCGCTTCCCAGCCTACCAGAAAGGAAACTTCCTTAAACATAGTGGTCACTCAGTTGATTTAAGTTGATTGCCAATATTATTAACTTAAGAGATTTAATATGTGGCTTTTAAAAAGATAATCTCATCTTCATCAGATCATATACAGTGGGGTTTCTAATAGACTCAGTGCTTGACCCTGGATGAAAGAAAATCTCAAGCAGTGAGAAAATGTAAGCATGAAAAGATAAGTGATAGGCTGCGCACGGTGGCTCACGCTTGTAATCCCAGCACTTTGGGAGGCTGAGGTGGGTGGATCACGAGGTTAGGAGTTCGAGACCAGCCTGGCCAAGATGGTGAAACCTTGTCTCTACTAAAAATACAAAAATTAGCCGGGCCCCGTGGCGGGCGCCTGTAATCCTAGCCACTTGGGAGGCTGAGGCAGAAGAATCGCTTGATCTCGGGAGGCAGAGGTTGCAGTGAGCGGAGATCGCGCCACTGCAGTCCAGCCTGGGTGACAGAGCAAGACTCCATCTCAGAAGAAAAAAAAAAAAAAAGAGATAAGTGATAGAGGTTGATATTTGTTAAATATCAAGTGAACGAATGGGTTTGTGCTATAAAAGTTCAGAGACAGAATTAATTGCTTAGTAAATGCTGGAGGCAGTTCACAAAGGCCTCAGAGATCACACATATTTTGTGTCTTGAAAGATGGTGAGACTTAAATAAAAGCAGAGAATATTCCAGGCACAAGAAAATTATCAAAAAATACAGAAAGGAAAATATAAGAGGACTGTTTGAGATACAATAAATAAATCCGTTTGACTTGCATGAAAGTCAAGAAGAAGTTTTAAGAACTTGGAGTCTCCTTAAATGCCAAGCAAGGAAATTTGGGCTTTCGACAGAGTAGACATTAGAAGCATAAAAACAAGTGATTTGCTTCAAACTGTATTTTAACAGGACCACCAAGAGTAGATTCAAACTCAGAATAGTCGGGCCGGCTGCCTTCTGGACCGACTTTCCCCCTTCTCATTGGCCTTGTGCTTTGAAAAAATTATCTTGACAAAATTATTAGAGCAGAAAAAAAAAGGCAGAACTGATAAGATTAGTCCTTTTCTAATGGAACCAGAAAAGAAGGGTCAGAAATGAAGGCAGAAGGGAGAAGCGGGGGTGGGGGAGAGAGAGAGAAGTAAAAAGGATTCACTCAAGAACCTGGTATTCAAAACTACGTGTACCAGCACTACCACAGCAGTATGACTCAGTGTCCACCTAAAGCATGATGATACTGCTTACCAAAAAAAGTCTGGAGGGAATGAAAAGTTGGGTTAGTTTTAAGTTATGGGTCACAGAACAGAATTCGGTGGTAAAAAGCTTAGGCTGGGAACAGAGCTTGAAACAGCAAAGGAATGAGAGGAACGACCAAAAAGCCAAGGACCATATAGTGATGTCTGAAAAATCAGAATCAGGTAATAATATTGAATACTGCAAAAGTCAGAGAAAATGTGGAAATAAGAAAGCAAGCGATCTGGAAAGTGGCGAGTAAGATGGAATATGAGGAGGTTGCTGAGAGCTGGGAGGAGACGGCAGACAGCGGGGAAATAGACGTCTGGAAAAAAAACTGAAGATCACACAGAAAGCAGGAAATTCAAATCTCCCAAAGTGCCCATTGTGATTCAGGATGATAATTTTCCCCCGGGACCCCCTCCACAGGTCCGCATCCTCAAGAGGCCCACCAGCAACGGTGTGGTCAGCAGCCCCAAGTCCGCTAGCAGGCCCGCCCTTCCAGTCAAGTCCCTGGCACAGTGGGAAGCCGAGTACACCGAGGCCAGGAAGCGGATCCTGGGCAGCGCCAACCCGAGGAGAAGCAGGAGAAACCCATCCTCGATAGGTCTTCCTCTGATCTTCTTCCCTTCAGGCCAACCAGGATCTCCTAACCCGAAGACAGCAGACAGCCCAATAATGTGATCAGACAGCCTCTGGGTCCTGATGGGTCACACGGCTTCAAACAGCGCAGATAAATGCAGGCAAGAAGAGATGGCGCGACTGCCGCGTCAACGCGTCCTGGGTCGTCCGCCAAGGGTTGCACTACCGTGGCAGACAGCTGGACTTGAGCAGCGGGAACTTGACTTACTTGCCTGGTGATCCCCGTTGCTCCGCCCACTGTGACCTTGAATCCCATGCACTGTGACCTCCCCCCTTCTCCTCCTTCCCACTGTGATTGGCACTTTGACAAGGACTGTCCCAAGTCAATGGAAAGGGAAAAAGGGTGAGGGTTAGGAGAAGGTTGGGGGGAACCCACCAATTACTCAGAGTAGAGAGTCAGACAGGGCCAGCAATAGCGGTTTATCATGCTCATTAATTTGGGATTTCAAAACACAAATGAACTCACACCTACCCACCCCCAAGTGCATGTCATCACTTAAAAAGTGAGTTCCATTTGAAAAAAAAGAAAGCAAACTACCTGCTCACTCTAAAAGCAGTTGCTGTTGTTTGTGACTTTGCCATTTAAAAAAATACAGACCAGCTGCTGCTGTTTGCTTGCATTCCACAGTTATCTTGTGTCACTTTGCCCTTTGTTGTGCTTACTTGAAGTTTCTCTAGAGGCAAACTGCTTATTTCTAGTAGCGTTGTTCTTGATGCCCAAGAGGTGTTCCAAGAGGTTGAGATACTTTGAGTGTCTTTATATTCTCTGGGACCTAAACTCTGCAAACAAGGCTCACACCTGTAATCCCAGCACTGTGGGAGGCCAAGGCTGGAGGATCTATTGAGGCCAAGAGTTTGAGACCAGCCTGAGCAACATGGCGAAACCCTGTCTCTATAAATTGCAAAAAAAAATTAGCCAGGCGTGGTGGCACTCACCTATAGTCCTAGCTACTTGGGAGCCAGAGCTGGGAGGATGGCTTGAGCCCGGATAGGTTGTGGTGTGATCCTGCCACTGCACTCCAGCCTATGTGACAGAGTGAGACCATGTCTCAAGGGGAAAAAAAAAAGTCTACAACAGACTTATCTTGACCCAAGGGCCACTTCGTACTTGTATTTATTAGTCATAACTAATCTTTTGTCTTTCTTTTTTTTTTTTTTTTGAGACGGAGTCTCACTCTGTCACCCAGGTTGGAGTGCAGTGGCACGATCTCAGCTCATTGCAGCCTCCACCTCCTGGGTTCAAGTGATTCTCCTGCCTCAGCCTCCCGAGTAGCTGGGATTACAAGCTTGTGCCACCATACCCGGCTAATTTTTGTATTTTTAGTAGAGACGGGATTTCACTATGTTGGCCAGGCTGGTCTCGAACTCCTGGCCTCAGGTGATCCACCCGTCTCACCCTCCCAAAATGCTGGGATTACAGGCGTGAGCCACTGTGCCTGGCCACAACTAATCTTTAAAGCATGGTGAAAACTAAACAAGATTTAGCTCAGAAACCGTGTTTAGAATGCTGAGTTTCACAATATTTATGAGACCATCTAAAATTACAGAAGTAGTTCAAATTCCTTATGTCTTTCCAAACATCTGGAACTGAATAGTGTTATTTAAAAGGCAAAATCCGGGCCGGACGCAGTGGCTCACGCCTGTAATCCCAGTACTTTGGGAGGCCAAGACAGGCAGATCACTGAAGGTCAGGAGTTTGAGACCAGCATGTAAAACCCCGTCCCTGCTAAAAATACAAAAATTAGGCGGGCATGGTGGTGCAAGCCTGTAATCTCAGCTGCTCGGGAGGCTGAGGCAGCAGAATCTCTTGAACCTGGGAGGCAGATGTTGCAGTGAGCCGAGATCGCGCCACTGCACTCGAGCCTGGGCGGCAGAGCAAGACTCTGTCCTGGAAAATAAAAAAGTAAAAAATAGGCCGGGCATGGTGGCTCATGCCTGTAATCCCACCACTTTGGCAGGGTGAGGCGAGTGGATCACCTGAGGCCAGGAGTTCGAGACCAGCCTGGCCAGCATGGTGAAACCCTGTCTCTACTAAAAATACAAAAAATTAGCCGGGTATGGTGGTGCACGCCTGTAATCCCAGCTACTCCAGAGGCTGAGGCAGGAGAATTGCTTAAACCTGGGAGGCAGAGATCATGCCACTGCGCTCCAGCCTGGGAGACAGAGTGAGAGTGAGACTCCATCTCAAAAAATAAATAAATAAATAAAGTAAAAAATAAAAAGCAAAATCCCAGCAAGTAGTGAATACAAAGACTTTTTGTTTTTACTTTGAAAATTAATCAACTTTTTGTTTGACTGAAACATACAGAAACATTCACAGAACAATTAATATTCAACAAAAGAAACCACCGCCTCAAGTTCTTCTGCTCTGAAGAACAAAAAAAGAAAAAAAGAAACCACTACCCAGAATTCACATTTGTCATTCCTGCATCAAACATATTTTTTTTATTATTTATTTATTTATTTTTGAAACAGAGTCTTGCTCTGTCGCCCACACTGAGTGCAGTGAGCCAAGATTGTACCACTATGCCTGGCTAATCTTTAGTATTTTTAGTAGAGATGGGGTTTTACCATGTTGGCCAGGCTGGTCTCAAACTCCCGACCTCAAGCAATCCACCTGCCTTGGCCTCCCAAAATGCTAGGATTACAGGTGTGAGCCACTGAGCCTGGCCTAAATAAATTTTTTTAATGAAACATTGCTTAAAAAATTAAAATTTCACTGTTATTCTTTATCCCATTCCCCTCCCTTCTCTTGATAATGATCAATTTGATGCCTGTCCACTAAGTCTGTGTTTTATACATTCACTGTAAATTTATGAATCCATAAACAACACGGACAGTAGGCTGCATACCTATAAGAGGACTTGCTGGGCAACAGAATAGTAAACCTTAGAGTAAGTTTCAATATGTAACAGGAAAAGCTCTCTTTATCTTTTTCAGTATTGTTTTGGCTCTTCCTGGATGTTAACTTTTAGAACCAGTTTGTCTAATTCACAAAAAGAATCCTCTTGGGATTTTGCTTTTCATTGCATTGGATTGTTAGACTAATTTGACTTATTTTCAGTATGAATTCTTCCCAGATAAGAACATGATATATCACTCCATTTTTAGGTCTCTCTTAACATCCTTTAATAATGCTTTATTGTTTCCTCCTTAAAGCTGTTGTATGTTTGGCTGGCTTTTTTCTGAAGTGCTTTATAAGTTTTATTGCTGTTTTTAAATTACACCTTTTAAAATTTTCTTTTCTTTTTTTTTGAGATGGAGTTTCGCTCTGTCACCCAGGCTGGAGTGCAGTGGTGCGATCTTGGCTCACTGTAAGCTCCGCCTCCCGGGTTCATGCCATTCTCCTGCCTCAGCCTCCGGAGTAGCTGGGACTACAGGCGCCTGCCACCACGCCCGGCTATTTTTTTTTTGTATTTTTAGTAGAGACAAGGTTTCACCGTGTTAGCCAGGATGGTCTCGATCTTCTGACCTCGTGATCCGCCCACCTCGGCCTCCCAAAGTGCTGGGATTACAGGCGTGAGCCACCATGCCCAGCCGTAACATTTTATTTTCTATTTGGTTATTGCTAACATATGAAACAATTACTCATTTTTGTGTTTTGATCTTATAGCCAGCCAGCAATACTGCTTTTTTGTTCTTTCTGTTTTTGTTTTTTGTTTTTTGGGTTTTTTTTGAGACGGAGTCTCACTCTGTCACCCAGACGGGAGTGCAGTGGCACAATCTCGGCTCACTGCAGTGTCTGCCTCCCTGGTTCAAAGGATTCTTCTGCCTTAGCCTCCTGAGTATCTGGCACTACAGGTGCGTGCCACCACACCTGGCTAATTTTTATATTTTTACTAGAGATGGGGTTTCGCCATCTTGGCCAGGCTGGTCTCGAACTCCTGACCTCGTGATCCACCCACCTTGGCCTCCCAAAGTGCTGGGATTACAGGCTGTATTTTGTTTTGTTATACAGTACTATTAGTTTTTCAGTAGATGCTCTTGGATTTTCTATGTTAATAATATCATATGCAAAAATCACTAACTTGTCTCTTCCTTAAACCTCTTTTTCATTTTCTTACAACCATTGGAATGGAATAGTAGCAATGATAGTGGGCATCCTCATCTTATTCATGACATTAGTAAAAATGCTTTTAAAATGTGATGTTTGCTGTAAATTTTAGGTAGATGCTCTTTATTACATAAAAGTTTCCTTCTATTCCTGGTTTTTTGAGCTTATAAAAAAGTATGAATCAGTGTTCAGTTTTATACACTGCTTTTTTATGCACCTAGAAATGACCCTGTGGCTTTTCTCCTTTAATCTGTCTATGTGGTGAGATTATATTGATAGATTTCCAATATTGACCTTCCTTGTTTTACTCAGATAAAATTCTACTTAGTTACAATAGATCTCTTTTTTTGGACATTTATGAACTGAATTTTTAAGAGGAAAAATATTACACAATGATATGGGAGCATAATTGAGTTCCTGCTCTTAGAAGATAACAAATATTTCAGAGATTTTAGTAGGAATATTGCCCTGTTAAGAACGCTCAATTCTCTAAAGCTAAGTTCAAATAAGGCCCAATTCTTGGCCTGAGACTCTGGTTCCCACAAGGGCAATACAGGCTGAACTGGTTTGATAACTTTTACCATTGAGAGTTTTTTTTTTCTTTTTGAGACGGAGTTTTGCTCTTATTGCCCAGGCTGGAGTGCAATGGCTTGATCTCGGCTCAGTGCAACCTCCGCCTCCCAGATACAAGTGATTCTCCTGTCTCAGCCTCCGAAGTAGCTCAGATTACAGGCATGTGCCACCACACCCAGCTAATTTTTTGTATTTAGTAGAGACATGTTTCATCATGTTAGTCAGGCTGGTCGTGAACTCCTGACCTCAGGTGATCCACCCGCCTCAGCCTCCCAAAGTGCTGGGATTATAGGCGTGCGCCACTGCACCCGGCCACGTTTAAGAGTTTTAAGGAAGGACCAGGAATAATAGAGGTCATCTTTTCGTGGAACGAAGAGTTTATAATCTCCCAGCTGACCTAAATCTGAGATCTGTGATCGTATCTAGTCTGAAAGTTACAGAGCCATTCAGCTGGCAGAAGAAAGGTAGTGAAGTTGAACAGCATCCCCACTCTTTGGGGTGGAAAGGTTGCTGGAGTTTCCCCCAGATTAAGTGGTTCCTGGAGAAGATGGAAGGAGTATAAGCAGTTCTGCTGGTAACTCCTAAAATGGCCACTACCTGGGTAATAGAACCCTGGAAGCAAAAGACATAGAATATCTATTGGTAGAATGTGCTGGACTAGGGAGAAAGAAGTTGAGCTTCATTCATATACCCCTGCTCAACTTCCTACCAGGACCATGCCACGAGTCTTTCTGGAGAAATATCATTTGGACACCTGCCAGATGAAGAGAACTGGTGGTCAATTGGTAATAATCAGAGAAACTGGGACAACCAACAGAAAGGGACAGAAATGTTTCCCATGATCTAGTTGAGGTTGTTCATACAATGAACCACAGTTATGTCCTGCTAATAAAAGGGCAACTAATTTTGAAGGGCAATTATGTAAAGAAATGTAATTTTCCTCTCCTTCCTCCTTGCCACCCCAACTGGTATCGGGATGGCAGGAGTCATGTGTGGTTTTCTATGGCTGTGTAACAAATTACCATAAATGTAGTAGCTTAAAGCAACACAAATTATTAGCTCACAGTCCATATATCAGAAATCCAGGTAGGCTCACCTGGTTCCTCTGCTCCAGGTGTCATAAAGCCTAAATCAAGGTGTGGGCCAGCTTGGGCTCTTAAGGATCTAGGGAAGAACCTGCTTTCTAGCTTATTCAAATTGTCAGCCAAATTCAGTTCCTTGTGGTTGTAGGACGGTAGTCCCCTTTTTCTTGCTAGCAGTGAGGACCACTCTCAGCTCCTGAAGGCTTCCTGCATTCCTTGCTACACACTCCCCTCCATCTTCAAGCCAGCAACAGGGTGTTGAATCACCCTTGTGCTTTGAACCTGACTTACTCTCCTGCTATCAGCCAGAAAAAAACTCTGACTTCAAAGGCTCATGTGATTTGATGAGGCCAACCCAGATCATCTCCCTTTTGCCATGTAATGTAACAGAATGATGGGAGTAATATCTCCTCATATTCACAGGTTCCTCCCACGCTTAAAGGGGAGGGGATCATCCATAGGCAAGGTCACTGGGAGTCATTCTTGGAATTCTGAGTACCACAAGTAATAATTGGGAAGACAGAATGGGATGTGACAAGAAGACCTATGCCCTACATCCCACACCCCCATTTCCAATTCCAGGTCACCAGGGCCACAGGTCCAGCCTGCTCTGGTAAGAGGAGGAAAGCTTTGAATCAAATATTATTTGAAGTTTCAAAATGAAGAAGTCAATATTAATAACTGAAATGAGACTGCTTTAAAAACTAAAAGAACTGGCCGGGCGTGGTGGCTCATACCTGTCATCCCAGCACTTTGGGAGGCTGAGGCGGGTGGATCACGAGGTCAGGAGATCGAGACCATCCTGGCTAACATGGTGAAACTCCGTCTCTACTAAAAAAATACAAAAAAATTAGCCAGGTGTGGTAGTGGGCGCCTGTAGTCCCAGCTACTCTGGAGGCTGAGGCAGGAGAATGGCATGAACCCAGGAGGCGGAGCTTGCAGTGAGCCCAGATCGCGCCACTGCACTCCAGCCTCGGCGACACAGCGAGACTCCATCTCAAAGAAAAAAGAAAAAAAAGAACTGCCAAGTGCGGTGGCTCACGCCAGTAATCCCAGCACTTTGAGAGGCCGAGGCGGGCGGATCATCTGAGGTCAGGAGTTCGAGACCAGCCTGGCCAACATGGTGAAACCCCGTTTCTACTAGAAATACAAAAATTAGCCAGGCGTGGTGGCAGGTGCCTGTAATCCCAGCTACTCGGGAGGCTGAGGCAGGAGAATTGCATGAACCCGGGAGGCGGAGGTTGCAGTGAGCCAAGATCGTGCCACTGCACTCCAGCCTGGGCGAAAGAGCGAAACTCCATCTCAAAAAAACAAACAAACTGACTAACTAACTAAAAGAACTGAAAGATTATGGATTCGGATTAGATGTCATTGAGGGAGGCTGCTTCCCAAAGAAAAAGGGTATTACATGGTACAGTCACCAAAACACATCTGGTTGCAGTAAAACTCCAATAAGGAACCCTTTATATTGATCTTTTTAAATTAGGGCTTTTTTGTGTGGGTTTTAGAGATTGGTGTATATTGTTCTTTCCTTATATACTCTTGTCCAGTTTTGAGATCAAGGTTTTAATGGTGTTATAAAATGAGTTGAGTAGCTTTTTCTATTCTCCAAAACAGTTTGTATAAAACTAGAATTATCTGTTCATTGCAGGTTTGATGAAACTAGGCTTGAAGATGTCTTGGTATTAGAGATTTTTGACTACCATTTTTAATTTTTTAAATAATTATTGTTTAGGGCCGGGCACGATGGTTCACGCCTGTAATCCCAGCACTTTGGGAGGCCGAGGCAAGCGGATCACTTGAGGTCAGGAGTTTGAGACCAGCCTGGCCAACATGGTGAAACCCTGTCTCTATGAACAGTTTTTTAAAAAAATTAGCTGCTGGGCCAGGCGCAGTGCCTCACACCTGTAATCCCAGCACTTTGGGAGGCCAAGGCGGGCAGATCACCTGAGGTCAGGAGTTTAAGATCAGCCTGGCCAACATGGTGAAACCCCATCTCTACTAAAAATACAAAAATTAGCCAGGTGTGGTGGCGGGCGCCCGTAATCCCAGCTACTCAAGATTACAAGCATGAGAATCACTTGAACCCAGGAGGTGGAGGTTGCAGTAAGTAGAGATTGTGCCACTGCACTCCACCTTGGGCAACAGAGTGAGACTGTCTCAAAATAATAACAATAATAACTATAATAATAATTATTATTATTATTTAGATTTATTTCTCCTGAAGTCAATTTTGTTTATATTTTTCTAGAAAATTATTTATCACAACTTTCTATTTTTTAGATATGATCTTTTGATGTATGTCTCTACTATGTCTGTAATTATGTTGTCCTTTTCAATCTTATTATGTGTTATTTAATATTAGGGATGTCAGCCAGGCATGGTGGCTTATGCCTGTAATCCCAGCTACTCGGGTGACTGAGGCACGAGAATTGCTTGAACCCAGGAGGCAGAGGTGGCAGTGAGCCGAAATCACACCACTGAATTCCAGCCTGGGTGACAGAGTGAGACTTTGTCTCAAAATAATAATAATAATAGGGATGTGTTCTAATAAGCTAGAGTGAGTGGGTGATCATAGTCCTAATGGAGGCCTATTCCCAGCAATATGAAGAGATATTTATGGCCCAAATACAGTCACGCACCACATAACAACGGTTCAGTCAATGTAGACCACACATACGACAGCGGTCCGGTAAGATTATAATGGAGCTGAAAATTCCTATCACCTGTTGCCATTGTAGCTGTCTTGATACTGTAACGAAAGGCATTACTCATACATTTGTGGTGATGCTGCTGTAAACAAAACTATTGTGCTGCCAGCTGTATAAAAAAATAGCACATACAGCCGGGCGCGGTGGCTTACGCCTGTAATCCCAGCACTTTGGGAGACCGAGGCGGGCGGATCACGATGGTCAGGAGATCAAGACCATCCTGGCTAACACAGTGAAACCCCATCTTTACTAAAAATACAAAAAATTAGCTGGGCGTGGTGGCGGGCACCTGTAGTCCCAGCTACTTGGGAGGCTGAGGCAGGAGAATAGCGTAAACCCAGGAGGCGGAGCTTGCAGTGAGCTGAAATCGTGCCACTGCACTCCAGCCTGGGCGACAGAGCGAGACTCCACCTAAAAAAAAATACAATTATGTGCAGTACACATACTTGATAATGATCATAAGCCACTGTTACCAGCTTATGTATTTACTATACTATTTGTTGTTGTTTTAGAGTGTACTCTTTCTACTTATTTAAAAAAAAAAAAAGAAGGTATTCCAGAAGAAGGCCTTGATATCAATAGGAGATGGCAACTCCGTGAGTGGAATTGCCCATGAGGACGTACCAGTGGGACCAGATGTGGAGATGGAAGACAGTGATACTGGTGATCCTGACCTTGTATAGGCCTAGGTGCGCATTTGTGTTTTAGTTTTTAACAAAAATGTTTAAAAAGAAAAAAAAATAGGCCAGGTGCGGTGGCTCACGCCTGTAATCCAAGCACGTTGGGAGTCCAAGGTGGGTGAATCACCTGAGGTCAGGAGTTCGAGACCAGCCTGGCCAACATGGCGAAACCCCGTCTCTACTAAAAAAAATTAGCTGGGCGTAGTGGCACACACCTGTAATCCCAGCTACTTGGGAGGCTGAGGCAGGAGAATTGCTTGAACCCGGGAGGCGGAGGTTGCAGTGAACGGAGATCACGCCAATACACTCCACCCTGGGCGATAGAGCAAGACTCTGCCTTAAAAATAAATAAATAAATAGAAAAAGCTTATAGAATAAGGATATAAAGGAAGAAAATATTTTTGTACAGCTGTACAGTGTGTTCATGTTTTAAGCTAAGTGTTATTACAAAAAGTTTTAAAAAAATTTTTAAAGCTTATAAAGTAAAAAAGTTGGCCGGGCATGGTGGCTAATGCCTGTATTCCTAGCACTTTGGGAGGCGGAGGCAGGCAGATTGCTTGAGTTTAGGAGATCAAGACCAGCCTAGGCAATATGGCAAAACCCCATCTCTACAAAAAATACAAAAATTAGCTGGGTGTGGTGGCGTGTGCCTGTAATCCCAGCTACTCAGGAGGCCGAGGTGAGAGGTTGGCTTGAGCCCAGGAGGCAGAGGTTTGCAGTGAGCCAAGATAGTGCCACTGCACTCCATCCAGCCTGGGCAACAGAGCCAGACCCTGTCTCAAAAAAAAAAAAAAAAAGTTACAGTAAGCTAAGGCTAATTTATCATTGAAGAAAGAAAAATGTTTTAAATAAATTTAGTGTAGCCTAAGTGTACAGTGTTTCTAAAGTCTACAGTAGTGTACAGTCATGTCCTAGGCCTTCATATTGATTCACCACTCACTCACTGACTCACCGAGAGCAATTTCCAGTCTGCAGGCTCCATTCATGGTAAGTGCATTATATAGGTGTGCCATTTTTATCTCTTATACTGCATTTTTGCTGTACCTTTTCTATGTTTAGATATGTTTAGACACACAGATACTTACGGTTGTGTTACAGTTGCCTACAGTATTCAGTACAGTAACATGCTGTACAGATAGTAGCCTAGAACAATAGGCTACACCACATGTTCCAAATGTGTAGGCTCTACCATCTCAGTTTGTGTAAGTACACCTCTGTCATGTTCACACAACAATGAAATCACCTAAGCACACATTTCTCAGAACATATTCCTGTTTTAAGTGACACATGACTGTACTTACTTTCCTATCCTCCCTTGCGGTTAGGACAGAGGCTGTTACCTAGACTTAAAATTGGGAACAAGTGGTATAAAAGCCAAAATCTAGTAGCTCCATTCCTGGGTGGGGTGCCCGAAGGTAGTTGGGAGTAGCAGCATAGCAGGTCAGAGATACTGGAATAGTCCAAGCTGTGGTGCCCAGGGTCCTGCAGAGGTCAGGATGTCCTCACTGGGCTGCTTTGGGGCATGATTTGAGGAAACAGCTGCACCCAGCCTCCCCTGTACCTGCTCATTTTCCAAGCTGCTACTTCAGCCTTTCCAATGGTTCTTTAAGCCAATATCATTTAACTACATTTTCTCCCTAAAGCATACAAGGTCGGTGTTATGGGTTGAACCATGAACCCCAAAATTCTTATGTTGAAGTCCTAACCCCTCTATCTCAGAATGTGACCATATTTAGGTTGTTACAGATGCAATTAAGATGAAGTCATACTGGAGCAGGGTGGGCCCCTAATCCAGTGTGACTGCTGTCCATATAAAAGGGGGAAATTTGGATCCAGAGACACACACAGTGGGAGAACAGTATGTGGGGATTGGAGTTATGTTGCACAAATCCAAGGAAATACCAAAAGCTAGGAGAGCGACCTGAAATAGATCCATCCCTAGAGGCTTCAGATCAACCATGGCTCTGCCGACATTTTAATTTCAGACCTGGCCTCCAGAACTGGAAATAATAAACTCTGTTGTTCTGAGCCACATGGTTTACAGCACTTTATTAGCACAGCCTTAGCAAACAAATACAGTTGATTTCTGCTACTTACCACTGAGGATCATGGCTGGTATTATTTTGTACTGAGTAAATAATTATGAGACAACCCAGAACTTGGCAAATCTGACAGCTCAGGCAGAGATGGGTGCTTTAAATGACAGGTCGGCATGGTCTTCAAATTCTCACAAAAGTAGTCCTGCCTTGCAGGCCTGTCGAGCAGTCTTTGGTAGCATTCAAGTCCTCCTCCCAAGGCAAGTTGGAGTGGTTCGATGCTCAGTAGGTTCCTTAGGTGGGTGGGAGAATCCCAGCCCTTGAGCCTGCAGCCTCTTCCTGGCCACTCCCTTTTCCTGGTGGCTGAGGTGTTTGGAACTCTCTGTCCACCACAACTAGCTCAAGATGTCTTGGCTGTTGGTCTTCAAAGTGGTTAAAAAGACACTGCGCCTCCTCCCTGATGAGGATCTGCCTCACAGTCATATGGCTCTTTAATTTTTTCTCCTGTGGCTAGATCTAGAAGGCAACTGCCACCTAATCTCTGGCAGTCCCCAAAACAGGTCACTGTAACACTTGCTTTATTAAAAAAATGCCATGATAGTCTTTGTTTCTTTATTCTAAGCCAACACTGTCACTTACGTAGGTTATGTCAGATGTTTGGGGTCAATCTGTTCCCTAGAACCCAAAGTCAATGGCAGAAAGTTAAGCCAAAGAAGCACAAATGACCCATCTTGCAGTGCATGCCTGGCTGAGGATAGCTCAGGAGAGTACTCATGGGCTGAGAGTTTTAGCAACATAGTACATTTACCCTCATTGGCTGAAGCAAACAGTACAGCTGCCTTACCAGCTCTAATTGGTCGTGACCATAGGTGGCACTATGAACAAGATTGTAAGAGATTATTATATACAATGTGGGGGTTACACATTTAACTCACTCCAACTCAGAGAGGCAGATAGAAAAGTAGCACTTTAATTTTGCCTATAAGTATTCCTGAGGCTGTACCTGCAGTGTAATAGGAAAACTAATTAAATGTCCAATATTATTTAGATCTGGTTGGATCTGTTTATTTAATCAGCAATTTAGGCAATGTCTCTTAAATAGAAATGTCAGTCTTTTTTTTTTAGATTTCCCTGACCCTCTGCTTTTCTAAGTCAGTATCCTAGTATTTTAGCGGGGAGGGATATCCTGGCCATGTGCTGTTCTGTCAATTCTGCTCCCATCTGCTGCTTTCCAGCCCCAAGTCTTTTGCCCACCTTTTTACTCTCCATTCTGTTAGCCTCTGATGCTGCAGCCCGGAGGTTCAAGCCCAGTCCCCAGTAATAAAGTCTAATCCTGTTTGGCTTGCTCTGTGAGTACGTTGGTTTCAGCACCTGCTCACTGCTTAGATTTTTGGGCTCCCTTTTCATTCCTGGTACAAAAATTATCGTGCTCTCTCTCTCTCTTTTTTTTTTACCTTTTTATTTTATTTTATTTTATTTGGATGTAGAGATGGGGTCTCACTATGTTGCCCAGGCAGGTCTTAAACTCCTGGGCTCAAGCGATCCTCCCACCTCAACCTCCCAAGTAACTGAGGCCAGGCAGGAGCCACTGCAGCCCACTCCATAGCACATTTATATACAGGAAGTATTAATATATAAAAATGAGAATTAGGCCAGGTGCAGTGGCTTGCACCTGTCATCCCAGCACTTTGGTAGGCTGAGGTGGAAGGATTGCTGGAGCCCAGGAGTTCAAGATCAGCCTGGGCAACATAGGGAGATGCCATCCCTACAAAAATAAAAAAATTAGCCAGGCATGGTGGTGCATGTGTGTGGTCCCAGCTACTCAGGAGGCTGAGATGGGAGGATCACTTGAGCCTGGGAGGCCGAGGCTGCAATGAGCTATGACCTCACCACTGTATTCCAGCCTGGGTGAGAGAGCCAGATCCTGTCTCAAAAAAACAGGGAGTAGGGCAATTAAATAGTAAGAATTTGATCATGATTGTCTAGCATAGGAATAATCAATTCACTGGAAAAATACATAAAAATTTCTAGGCCTTTCCATAGCTGGAAAGAAATAGCTTCCTAAATTAGTCTACTCCCTTACCTCTGATTATATGGTCCTTAAAAACTTCCTGCTAACCAGGCCGGGCGCAGTGGCTCACGCCTGTAATCCCAGCACTTTGGGAGGCTGAGGTGGGCAGATCACGAGGTCAGGAGTTTGAGACCAGCCTGGCCAACATGGTGAAACCCCATCTCTACTAAAAATACAAAAATTAGCTGGGCGTGGTGGCAGGTGCCTGTAATCCCAGCTACGTGGGTGCCTGTAATCTCAGCTACTTGGGAGGCTGAGTCAGGAGAATCGCTTGAAACTGGAAGATGGAGGTTGTAGTGAGCCGAGATCGCACCATTGCACTCCAGCCTGGGCAACAAGAGTGAAACTCTGTCTCAAAAAAAAAACAAAAATAAATAAATAAATAAACTTCCTGCTAACCTATCTAATTTCACAGGTACCTTGATGCAAAGGAGATGCTCATGGAGGGGAAATGCATTGTTTAGGTAGATCCACCTTCCAAATTAAGGAACTGATATTCCAGTGTATAAATCAGTCTCTTTAATTTTTTTAACATTATTATTATTATTATTAAGACGGCGTCTCGGTCTGTCACCCAGGCGGGAGTGCAGTGGCGCAATCTCGTTTCACTGCAACCTCCACCCGCTGGGTTCAAGTGAGTCTCCTGCCTCAGCCTCCCTAGTAGCTGGTATTACAGGCACCTACCACCACACCTGGCTAATTTTTGTGTTTTTAGTGGATTTCACCATGTTGGCCAGGGTGGTCTTGAACTCCTCAGGTGATCCGCCCACCTTGGCTTCCCAAAATGCTGGGATTACAGATGTGAGCCACTGCATCCAGCCTTTTTAAGAAAATTTTTTGAGATAGAGTCTTGCTGTGTTGCCCAGGCTGGAGTGAAGTGACACGATCACAGCTCACTGCAGCCTCAACCTACTGGGCTCGGCTCAAGCAGTCCTCCTTCATCAGTCTCCCAAGTAGCTAGGACTGTAGGTAAGCGCCACCACACCTGGCTAATATTTAAATTTTTGGTAGAGACAGGATCTCCCTGTGTTGCCCAGCCTGGTCTCAAACTTTTGGGCTCAAGCAGTCCTGTCTCAGCCCCGTAAAGTGCTGAGATTACAGGCATGCATGCCTGGCCTCTTTAATTGTTTAAACATCTTAATCCATACAGTTTTTTTTTTCTTTTTTTCTTTTTGAGACAGAGTTTTGCTCTTGTTGCCCAGGCTGGAGTGCAATGGCGTGATCTCGGCTCACTGCAACCTCTGCCTCCTGGGTTCAAGCAATTCTTGTGCCTCAGCCTCCTGAGTAGCTAGGATTATAGTCATGCACCACCGCGCCACCCCCCTCCCCCCTGGCTAGTTTTGTATTTTTAGTAGAGATGGGGTTTTTCCACTTTGGTCAGGCTGGTCTCAAACTCCCGACCTCAGGTGATCCGCCCGCCTCGGGCTCCCAAAGTGCTGGGATTATAGGCATAATCCATACAGTTTTCTTAATTTCTAATTCTATGATTCCATCTCCAGGGCTTTCGCATCTGGTCCATAGAAGGTACTTAGTACATTTGTTGAATGAATAGATGACCACATCATTGCTGTTGTTTTGTTTAAAATTTTAAATGTTATGAATCACAGTCATTTTCTTCCCCATGGGATTACTATGTAAATGATTTGTTTCTGCTGAGGGATTATAGGCCGACAATTTGAAGTAGAGCTAATTATATTCAAGGCAGATTGTAAACATCTCATTCATTTATTCACTCATTCAATAAAAACTTGCTAAGTGCCTATTAACTTGGATGCTCTGCCCTGGGGAATACGATAATCATAATTTTTAAATTTTTTTAATTATTATTTTTTTGAGACAGAGTATTGCTCTGTCACCCAGGCTGGAGTGCAGTGGTGCAATCTTGGCTGACTGCAAGCTCCACCTCCCGGGTTCCCGCCATTCTCCTGCCTCAGCCTCCCGAGTAGCTGGGGCCACAGGTGCCCACCACCATGCCCGGCTAATTTTTTGTATTTTTAGTAGAGACAGGTTTTCACTGTGTTAGCCAGGATGGTCTCGATCTCCTGACCTCATGATCCACTTGCGTCGGCCTCCCAAAGTGCTAGGATTATAGGTGTGAGCCACCGCACCCAGCCAATAATCATAATTTTTAAAAGAAACTGTCCCAGCTACTCAGGAGGCTGAAGTAGGAGGATCACTTGAGCCAGGGAGTTCGAGGTTGCAGTGAGCCGTGATGGTGCCACTGCACTCCAGCCTCGGTGACAGAGCAAGACCTTGTTTCAAAAAACAAAACAAAACAAGAACTATAGTTCTTGTTTTTTTTTTTTTTTTTGAGACAGTCACCCAGGCACATGCCACCGCACCTGACTAATTTGGTTTTTTTTGTATTTTTAGTAGAGACGGGGTTGCACCATATTGATCAGGCTGGTCTCAAACTCTTGACTTCAGGTGATCCACCCGCTTCAGCCTCCCAGAGTGCTGGGATTACAGGCGTTAGCCACCGCGCCCAGCCCAAAAACTATAGTTCTTACAGTGGAAGGTGGAAGGAGTTGCAATTGAAAATAGTTAGATGTTCTAAGCAGCATGTTGATAAAGGTGGGGAAACCAAGCTGTGTGTACTTAGAAATGGGAGAAGACTAGTAATCATTAACTAGAGAGGTCTATTGATCTCTAGGGCCTCACTCATCCAGCAGAGGTTTAGGTGGCAAGCATAAGGTTAAAAATCCCAGGCCTTTCCAGAAGACTGGTGAGTCACATGGACGGGTGGACCAAGAACTGTTGGACATTTAGTTGCTTTCCTATTTTTTTTGCTATTATCAATAATGTTTCTCAGCCTGATGGTGCACACCAACTTAGGAGACTGAGGCAAGAGGATTGCTTTAGCCCAGGAGTTGGAGGTTGCAGTGAGCTATACTCGCACCACTGCACTCCAGCCTGGGCAACAGAGCAAGACCCTGTCTCTAAAAATGATAATAATAATAATGCTGTGATAAACTTCTCTGCACAAAAATCTTTATGCAGGGCTGGACGTGGTGGCTTACACCTGTAATCCCAGTACTTCAGGTGGCTGAGGCCAGAGAATCACTTGAGGCCAAGAGCTCAAGACTAGCCTGGGCAACAAAGAGAGACCTTGTCTTTACAAAAAAATTAAAAAAAAAATAAAAAACTTAGGCACACTCGGTGTCATAAGCCTGTAGTCTCAGCTACTCAGGAGGCTGAGGTAGGAAGATGGCTTGACCATGGAAGTTTGAGGCTGCAATGAGTTATGATCTTGCCACTGCACTCCAGCCATGGTGACAGTGAGACCCCATCTACAAAGAAAATCTTTTTGCACATCTTTACTTTCTTAGGATAAACTCCTGAAAGTGGATTTTCTGGGTTACAGGGCATGAGCATTTTTGTGGCTATGCAATTTATGGTCTCATGATGAATGTAAGATGGTACTTGTTTTCCCATACCCTCGACAGGACTAAATTTGGGAAAACATGGATTTATAGGTCTCTATGAAAATTAAAATGTTTCCCAATTTTATATGTTTAAAAATTTCATTTAAGAACAATTTAAATCCATTGGAAAGAGCTGTAGAAAAAGGAATTTGTAGTAAAAGGGATTTGCTTTGTGTTGTACTTCAGTGAGTGCTGGGTCTTTTTTTTGTATTAATATTCCCAAGTTGAAGTAGAAGTGTTCATCAATGCTTTAACTTGTGGGCTTAAAGGAGAGGTGTGATACAAGGAAAAAGGGGTGGTGGAAAATATTTTTTAAAAAAATGTAACAGGCCGGTTGTGATGGCTCACACCTGTAATCCAAGCACTTTGGGAAGCTGAGGCAGGTGGATCACTTGAGGTCAGGAATTCGAGACCAGCCTGGCCAACATGGTGAAACCCCGTGCCTACTAAAAATACAAAAATTAGCCAGGCATGGTGACACCCGCCTGTAATCCCAGCTACTTGGGAGGCTGGGGCAGAAGAATTGCTTGAACCCAGGAGGAGGAGTTTACAGTGAGCCAAGATCGTGCCACTGAATTACAGTCTGGGTGACAGAGCGAAACTCCATCTCAAAAAAAAAAAAAAAAAGGAACACGATAAGAAATCAAGGCGAAAAGAAGAAAAGAACAAACATGGGAAAGGAAAATGATGGGAAAGCAGGCAGGCCCGGACTCTGGCCACCGCACGGGCTTTTGCCTGGACTTGCCCATTTTCCTGTGTCATTGCTGTCCCATGTTTTCAGTTCACAAGTTGAGCAACTGCAGCTTCCTTTATCATTAGAAGAGGAAATGAAAGAGCAAGGGTACAAGTAATTACTGGGGCCAGCACAGAATGTTTTTTGTTTGTTTTTTTCTTTTTTTTTTTTTTGCCCGGCTTGTTTTGTTTTTTTAGAGGGAAAACCCATGTGTTGCAACTTGTTCAATCACCAGGATTTTAGTCCTCTGACCTTCAGACGTTAGTCATTCCTTCCTCTTAAACAGCTCCTTCCCTAGTTTTTGAACTGGTCTTTGGGTTAAACACAACAGGGCCCTTCTAACCTCTCAGAAAAGTCTGAGAAATAAATTCAAATTCTAATAAGTAGTATTTCTGAATGTTAAAATATGTATGAATTGGCTACATATTTTATATTGTTAGTTCTCTCAGGATCTTTCCTATATAGTGAAATTCACTGAGCTAAAATGTAATGTTAAATACTTACAAGAGGCTTTGGTTATAAAATGACTGAAGAGGAATTTCTCTATAAATAGGTTTAGGTTTAGGAAACCTGCAATAGCAGTGGCTCCACCTAAAGACCAGAAAATGACACAGTCTAACTGTGATGTTTTCAAGCTTAGAGGCGGTCATTCACTTTAAAAGTAAAGCGACATGGTTTTTATCTCTCACCACCTTGCTTAAAAGTGATGCAGATAACTTAAAAAGTGATTTAAAAACATAAATTCAGCACATAAAACACATAATCCATAAAACACAGCACATAAAAGTATGATAGAAAATTATTTAATAATTTTAAAAAGTAAATTGTAGTTACTCTTAAAAGAAGACTAGAGTCTTTGCCACAGTTAAAAAGTAAGTAAGGTTAGGCCAGGCGCGGTGGCTCAAGCCTGTAATCCCAGCACTTTGGGAGCCCAAGGTGGGCAGATCACGAGGTCAGGAGTTCGAGACCAGCCTGGCCAATATGGTGAAACCTCCGTCTCTACTAAAAATACAAAAATTAGCCGGGCGTGGTGGCAGACGCCTGTAGTCCCAGCTACTCGGGAGGCTGAGGCAGGAGAATCGCTTGAACCTGGGAGGTGGAGGTTGCAGTGAGCCGAGATCGTGCCACTGCACTCCAGCCTGCGTGACAGAGCGAGACTATGTCTCAAAAAATAAACACATAAAAATAAAATAAAAAGTAAGTAAGGTTAAAAAGAAAGAAAAGTAAACTAGAGTCCAGACCAAACTAGACCAGAACTTTCCTAGCAAAATTGAAACAGTTATTTAGCTGAGTGTGGAAAGGTAAATCCTATGCATCATGTCACAAGTACACACATCATTGCTAGGTGGGATGGCTCATGCTTGTAATCCCAGTGCTTTGGGAGGCTGAGGCAGGAGGATTGCCGGAGCCCAGGAAGGTGGCTTGAGACTGCAATGAGCTGTGATTGTGCCACTGTAGTCCAACCTGGGGGTCAGAGACCCTGTCTCAAAAAATAAAAAACAAAAAAACCCCGCAACAACAACAAAAAAGAAGTTCACCATCAACCAGTTTATTGATTTACTGCCACTATCCTCTTGGCCAAGTATCAAAATATTTTAAGCATGAATTTGGCTGTGACCCTTAATTCATTAATTAATTCATTTACTTTTAGAGATAGGGTCTCGCTATGTTGGCTAGGTTGGAGTGCAAAGTCTATTCGAGGCATGACTGTAGTGCACTACAACCTTGAACTCCTGGGCTGAAGCGATCCTCCCACCTCAGCCTTTCAAGTAGCTGGCACCACAGGCTCACACCATCATACCCAGCAATTCATATATTTAACGAATATTTACTGGCACAGTGCAAGGCATTTAAAATATAGCCTGATTAAAACATATATAACCTGTGCCTTTTTTGAGCTTGCAGTATAGTAAAGGAGAAATACAAGAAGCAAATAAATATATAATTGCAAACTGGGATGAGGCATTAGAAGGAAAAGAACTGAGTTCCTAAAAGAGAGACTAGCAAGGTTGATCTTGCTAGTCTGAAATCTGACTGAGATACCATGAGTAATGATCACTTGATTACTCAGAGAACTGCAGCATTTTGGTACAGCTGGTGGTACGTTAATATTTCCTTGTTCATATCTGTGTCCTTGCATAACTTTTTAATATTTGGCCATGCTCTTTGGCCTCTAAATTGAAAGCTCTGTGGTGAAAGGCACTATCTTCCACTTCTTCCTAATTTTCAGAGTATAATACGGGGTGCTGTGTGCAGGACTCATGCTCCTGACTGAATAAAAGACTATTTCTTTGAGTCTAATTAGTTGGGAAAGTCCCCTTGGTTAGATTGCTTTGCCTAATAATTTTGTATTCCTAGCATTTCAGAGTGCCTGGCAGCCGGGTGCAGTGGCTCATGCCTGTAATCCCAGCACTTTGGGAGGCTAAGGCGGGCAGATCTTCTGAGGTCAGGAGTTTGAGACCAGCCTGGCCAACGTGGTGAAACCCCATCTCTATTAAAAATACAAAAATTAGCTGGGCATGGTTGTAGGTACCTGTAATCCCAGCTACTTGGGAGGCTGAGACAGGAGAATCACTTGAACCCAGGAGGCAGAGGTAGCAGTGAGTTGAGATCACACCACTGCACTCCAGCCTGAGCAACAGAGCGAGACTCTATCTAAAAAAAAGAAAAGAGTGCCTGACATAATCAGTGCTCAATAAAATCTGTGGAATAGTGAATAAAAGACCAAATGGATGATTAATTTTTTCACTATACTGATATACCCATTTTATTTTATTTGAGATGGGTTCTTACTCTGTCAGCCAGGCTGGAGTGCAGTGGCACAATCATGGCTCACTGCATCCTTGACCTCCCCAGGCTCAGGTGATCCTCCCACCTCAACCTCCTGAGTAGCTGGGACCACAAGTGCATGCCACCATGCCTGGTTGATTTTTGTATTTTTTGTAGAGACAGGATTTTGCCATGTTGCCCAGGCTGGTCTTGAACTTTTGGGCTCAGGTGACCTTCCCATTTTAGCTTCCCAAAGTGCTGGGATTACAGGTGTGAGCCACTGCACCCAGCTGATATGCCTGTTTTCGTGTCCAGTTAAATCACTCACTTAATCATTTATTCAACAGATAATTATTGAACACATACTAAGAACCAGGCATTGTGCCAGTACTGGGGATACGAAGGTAAACAGAAACAGACAAGATCCTGCCCTTGTGGAACTTATACTCTAGTAAGTACTTTAAAGTCAGAGGTAGACTATTGATCAAGCAGATATAGTATCCTTTTTGGTGTCGAGAGAGAAAAGGAATGTGTCCATACCTTAATGCAACCATATAATTCCCAGAAGTTAGAGCAGGGCTCCTTCATGAGCAGAAGGTACAGTCTGTAATTAGGGCTGAGAGGCAGGTGGCTACGCCCTGGACTGGGGTTAGTCTCTTGGGTTTAGTCTCTTAGAAAGCAATGTGGTTTGCAGTTCTGTTGCAATCCAGATGATGGAATGCCTACCACGAAGGAGCAAGCCCGACCTCAAGCGATAGAGACCTTTTGAGCTAAGTTCCGTCCTTCACCCAGTGCCTGTGTATTGGAATGGGTGGAGTGGGTGAGAGCGGGCTGAGAGGAAGCAAAGCCGTGGAGATTCCACAATGTTAAGATTAAAGAGAAGGATCAGCACAAACACCTCAAGAATGTGACGTGGTGGGTGGTCTTATTTTCCTTGTTCTGGAGAAGGTTGCGTTTTCCTACCAAAGCTGACAGCTGGGTTCCCTTACCCCTGAGGGTGACTGATGTTTGTTCCTAGAGAGGGAATTACATGCCTCTGGCCTGTCTGTGTAGATCTGACAACAGCCATCATACCCTTGTAACCCCCTTTTTGGACCATAATGGAAGTTAGAAAAGTCACACAATGACCAACCTGTACAGAGGAACTTGTCACAGAGTGGACTGTTCAGTTCCACAGTTCATTGTTGTTTCTTTATAACTCAATTAGAATAAGACACAGGTTCAAAAAGAAGCAATGCATCTATGACTGCTCAAATTGAGAGAGAAACTTTTCAGGGGAATTATTCACAAACTCCTTTTCACTGAGCTTATGGCTACTGTTCCTCCCTCAAGTGATAGATTCCAACGAGGTGTCAGAATGGCTTTGATAGCTTCCAGTTCCCCAGACCTAAGGCAAAGAGGGATAAATAAGATCACACACACACACACACATACACACACTTTTATATGCATTAACAAGGCAGTTTTAATCCATGGAGTGATTTTCTCTAAAAGAGGCTTTAAAGATTATGAGTGTGGGTTCTGTGGCTGCACTGCATTGGTATTCTAGCTCTGACACCAGTTTCTGCATCTGTAAAATGGGTTGTTACAAGGATTAAACATGTTATTATCATTTTTAATGATAATAACATGGAATCCTCACTGAAGGCAGTTTTTTTTCTTCTTTTTGTTTGTTTGTTTTTCTGAAACGGAGTCTCGCTCTGTCGCCCAGGCTGGAGTGCAGTGGCGCGATCTCAGCTCTCTGCAACCTCCGCCTCCCAGGTTCAAGCAACTCCTCTGCCTCAGCCTTACAGGCATGCACCACCATGCCCAGCTAATTTTGTATTTTTAGTAGAGATGGAGTTTCACCACGTTGGCCAGGCTGGTCTCGAACTCCTGACCTCAGGTGATCCAACCGCCTCAGCCTCCCAAAGTGCTGGGATTACAGGCGTGAGCCACGGCCCCCAGCCTTGAAGGCGTTTTAAGGGCCATAAAAATACTGCTGTTATCTAGCCTTACTGCTCTCATTCTTGTCTCCCAAATGCCAAGATCATTCCTGCCTCAGACTTCTTTCCTTGCTATGTCATCTTTCCAGAAACTTCTTCCCAGTTTTGTGCATGGCAGACCTAGTTTTTCATCCTTGAGCTTTGGGCTCAGATGTCACTTCCTTAGGGAAGTTTTTCAAAAGCCGCACCCCCCAGCCCCCCAACCCCTAGTTTATCCATCACATTCCCTTTGTTTATTCTCTTCAGGGACCTGATCATACTCTGAAGTCATCTTAGTCACTTCTCTACTTGTTAAATGTTTGTCTTCTTAAGCTCTATGAGGACAGGGACCTTGTGATCTTGTTTACCATGACATCCTAAAAGCTTAGGGCAGCCGTTCCCAAAGTGTAGTTCATGGACCCCCAAAAAGGTCTCATGAGGTCAGAGCTCTCATAATAATACTAAGATTTTACTTGCTTTTTGCACTTTTTGGACCTTTGCATGATGGCACAAAAGCAATGGTAGGTAAAACTGTTGTTACCTTGGCATGAATCAAAGCCATGGCACCAGCTGTATTAGCAGTCATTGTTCATCACTATGTACTCAACAGTTTAAAAAGCCAGTTTTTCTTAAAATTCACTGAAGAACGTCCTTGAAGAAGCAGTCACAGTTATTAATTTTATTTAGTCTTGATCCTTGAGTGCACATCTTTTTAGTACTCTGTATGATACAATGGAAAGCACATATAAGCACTTCTGCACACCAAAGTATATACATTGGTTATCTCAAGAATAACCTTCCTAGAGATTGAATTCTGTGCTGCAGTACACTGCTTTTTTCATGGGACACCATTTTTTCTTGAAAGAACAACAGTAAACTATGGACAAGAGCATAGAACTAAAGACTTGGATATGAGAATTATCAGCTTAGAGATGATAAAGACAATGTCTAAACTGTGTGCAACACTGTTTTACCCACTGGGGACAGGTAAGTTTTTTGCTCTCACAGAGCTACGAAGAGAATAAAGAAAGCATAGAGGTCAGAATCATGGTTTGTTGAATATTTGAAGCTGAGGGGCTTCGAGGAGAAAGGTAGGAATGAAACAACTTTAGAAAACATAGTAATGAGGCCGGGTACGGTGATTCACTCCTATAATCCCAGCACTTTGGGAGGCCGAGGCAGGCAGATCGCCTGAGCTCAGGAGTTCAAGATGAGCCTAGGCAACATGGAGAAACCCCATCTCTACCAAAAAAAAATACAAAAAATTAACCTGGCATGGTGGCGCATGCCTGTGGTCCCAGCTACTTGGAAGGTTGAGGTGGCAGGATCACTTGAGCCTGGGAGGTAGAGATTGCAGTGAACCGAGATCATGCCACTGCATCCCATTTTGGGCAATGGAGTGAGACCCTGTCTCAAAAAAAGAAAGCAAGGCAAGGCAAGGCAAGACAGGGCAAGGCAGGGCAAGGCAGGGCAAGGCAGGGCAAGGCAAGGCAAGGCAAGGGAAGGCAACACATTAATGAAAGAAACATCTCTGTAGCACTGTATTGGTTTATTATTAGCAAAACAGAGTAGTCATGGGATCTCCAAGCTAAAATGTAGAAACAATCCTGTTATAATTGTAGCTATAAAGGTTTTATTCAGCAAACTGATTGTACTTATACAAACAAAGGATCTTGTTTTTTCCCTTTTTGAGAGAATCTTCAGCATGGGAACATTCAGAATAATTTGCCCAGTGCCAGTATGACAGATATTCCTAATTACAAATACTTTGCCAAATTTACAATGAGAATGATGATTAATTTGTGTCACATAGATTTTTTAAATTCATTCCCAAAGTGATTTAAGTTTATATTACAATCACAAATCTTATACTTTCAAAAATAATGCTCTCAATAAACTCATCCTGAATTTTTCTTCCCCAAAGACATCCACATCAGCCACAGCATAAACAAGACTTTCCCACTTTTCCCCTTACTGCTGTGAGTAGCATTCATTCAGTGTCAGCCCCAGGTCTGCCTCTGTTCCCTGTGAATCAACACTCTGTCTAAAAGGCAGGCGTTGGAGGAAACAGACCTCCTTGTCATAGACTGAAGGGCAGCAAACTACATTCCTTCAGCCTTAGGCCTGGTGGAGAAAATGCTTCAAATCACAAGAGAGGTAAGGCTCTCAGAAAAGCATGCAGACATTTTTAAAAATCTTGACTAAAAAGCGTGACTAGCTGGGCGCGGTGGCTCATGCCTATAATCCCAACACTGGGAGGCCGAGGCGGGCAGATCACCTGAGGTCAGGAGTTCGAGACCAGCCTGACCATCATGGAGAAGCCCTGTCTCTACTAAAAATACAAAATTAGCCGGGCATAGTGGTGCATGCCTATAATCCCAGCTACTTGGGTGGCTGAGGCAGGAGAATCGCTTGAACCCAGGAGGCGGAGGTTGCGGTGAGTCCAGATCATGCCATTGCACTCCAGCCTGGGCAACAAGAGTGAAACTCTGTCTCCAAAAAAAAAAAAAAAAAAAAAAGTGTGACTAGGCCAGGCAGGACGGCTCACGCCTGTAATCCCAGCACTTTGAGAGGCCAAGGTGGGCAGATCTCTTGAGCTCAAGGTTTCAAGACTAGACAGGGCAACATGGTGAAACCCCATCTCTACAAACAAAATATAAAAAAATTAGCCAGGTGTGGTGGTGCATGCCTGTAGTCCCAGCTACTTGGGAGGCTGAGGCGGGAGTATCACTTGAGGCTGGGAGGTCGAGGCTGCAGTGAGCCATGTTTGTGCCCCTGCACTCCAGCCTGGGTGACAAAGTAAGACCCTGTCTCAAAAAAATACAAAATAAATTAAAAAGTGTGATTTTAGAAATTGTTAAGATTTAAAAATAAAAATTTTGAGCAAATTTAAATAAAAATATAACTGGTTTGGGATAACCAGATATCCTGCATTTTAGAAATAATGTTAGAAACTGGGGCCAGAGAAGTGGCTTAAAATGTCCCTCTTCATCCCTCCCTCTATGCTTCACAGCATAACCCATATTTATCCACTTATTTTTAATTTAATTTAATTTTACTTTTAGAGTCAGGGTCTCACTTTGTTGCCCAGGCTGGAGTGCAGTGGCACAGTCATGGCTCACTATAACCTCAAACTCCTGGGCTCAGGCAATCCTCTGCCTCATCTTCCCAAGTAGCTGGGACTACAGGTGTCTACCACCATGCCCGGCTAATTTTATAAAATTTTTTATAGAGACGGGGGTCTTGCTGTGTTGCTCAGGTCTTGAACTCCTGGCCTCAAGTGCACCTCCTGCCTTGGCCTCCCAAAACACTGGGATTACAGATGCAGGCCACTGTACCTGGCCCCCATATTTATTAATCACATTTTATTCATTCATTCATTTAACTTTCCTGTGAAGTTTTGCAAATGGCTTCCTCAATTCCCCCTTGTTAAGCTTTTTTTCCTTCTCAAACCATGCTTATATCCTTTCTGGTTCCAGCCACATATTTTGGGTCAGACAGTCCTAGCACTGTACTTTTAATATCACCTGGAGTGACTTCAGAGACTTCTTTGAAGCCACAAGACCATCTGGTTCAATACCAATATTTTGAAATCTAATGACTCACTATTCTAGAACATTCTCAACATTAAGTTTCTTAAAGATGGCTTAAATACTTTTTAAATTTAAATAAATGTACAGAAAACAAAAATCTTTTCATTTAAAACCTACCAAATATAGCCACACATGGTAGGGCATACCTATAGTCCCAGTTACTCAGGAGGCTGAGGCAGGAGGATTACTTGAGCCAAGGAGTTCAGGGCTGCAGTGCACTATGATTGTGCCTGCAAAAAGGCACTGCACTCCAGCGTCGGCCACAGAGAAAGACCTAGTTTTTTGTTTTTGTTTTTGTTTTTGAGACAGAGTCTTGTTCTGTCGCCCAGGCTGGAATGCAGTCTGGAGTGCAGTGGCTCATTGCAACCTCCACCTCCTGGGTTCAAGCAATTCTCCTGCCTCAGCCTCCTGAGTAGCTGGGATTACAGGGGCACACCACCACGCCCAACTAACTTTTGTATTTTTAGTAGAGATGGAGTTTCGCCATGTTGGCCAGGTTGGTCTCAAACTCCTGGGCTCAAGTGATTCACCTACCTTGGCCTCCCAAAGTGCTGGGATTACAGGCGTGAGCCACTGCATCCAGCCATAAGACTCAGTTTCTTTTCTTTTTTTTTTTTGGAGATGGAGTTTTGCTCTTTTGTCCAGGCTGGAGTGAAGTGGTGCGACCATGGTTCACTGCAACCTCTACCCTCCCGGTTCAAGCAATTCTCCTGCCTCAGCCTCCCAAGTAGCTGGGATTATAGGCACCCACTACTACGCCCAGCTAATTTTTGTATTTTTAGTAGAGACGAGGTTTCGCCATGTTGGCTAGGCTGGTCTCAAACTCCTGACCTCAGGTGATCCACCCGCTTCGGCCTTGCAAAGTGCTGAGATTACAGGCATGAGTCACCACGCCTGGCCGGCAAGACCCTGTTTCTAAAAAACAAAATAAAAAATAAATCTTCCAACTATTTATAATATGATCTCTGTTCATCTTTACTGTTATAAACATTCCTCAGGTACTTGAAAGGAGTGTGTGTTCTAGGCTTGTTGAGTACAGATAACCTATTAGACAAGGTTACTAACTTCCCTGCTGCCTGCTCTATCACCTCTATTAGAAGTATTTAAAATCTCAATTTTCCTTTTAATTTTCATGCTGTTTTCTGGGTTGTTCATGATTGCTATGTTTGTGGTGGATTGTTCTTTAAAAAAAAAAATCTTGATCCTATTAACACTTTTTGCCTCAAATTCTATTTTGTCTGCTATTGATATTACTACCCAAAATCCCCGCACCCCGCCCTTTTTTTTGAGACAGGATCTCACTCTGTCACTCAAGCTGGAGTGCAGTTCACCATCACGGTGGCTCATTGCAGCCTCGACCTCCCTGGGCTTGGGTGATCCTCCCACCTCAGCCTCCCGAGTAGCTGGGATCACAGGCACATACCACCATACCTGGCTAATTTTTGTACTTTTTATAGAGACGGGGATTCACCATGTTGGCCAGGCTGGTCTTAAACTCCTGATCTCAAGTGATCCGCCCACCTTGGCCTCCCAAAGTGCTGGGATTATAGGCATGAGCCACCACACCCAGCCGGCAGCAAACTGTTTATGGACTGGTACTGGGGCCCAGACCCTACCTTGAGTGGTACTGGGCTAGAGGACTTATTAATTGCATGATCTAGGAGTAGTTCATAAATTCTGTGATGGTCATTCTTTGGGTGAACTCCATTTCTAGCAGATTCTAGATAAGCAGCATGACTTCCTCTGATTCTCTGACACCTGAGGGTGGGGAAATTCAGACTGTCCCACTTGGGTTGTGCGTCTTCACGCTGGGGAAGAGGGTGAGGCCAAAGTTGTGTTGGGAGATAAATAATGAAATTCAAGAACTCCATGGTAACAGCCCTTGTCTTTCCTCTCTGGGGCCACACAGTGCAGTGTGGGGAGAGGAGTGGACAGAAGGAATGTCAGCATTTCCTTGGCAAAATCTCTTGCGTTTCAGAACAGCAGTGAGATTTTGGAGGTATGAGAGAGTCACAGGTGTGACATTCCTGTGAGGAATGCTATTTGAGTACAAGCAGTGGATGTCCTCATGATGTTATGATTTCAGAAGAATAGCACTGTGCTTGGCTGAAAAGTTCTGCATTCAATAACTCCATGCCAATAAGCAGCCATTTCCTCCCAGCACACAGTTGCTCACCAATGTCCATGGTCCTATGGCACTGGGAGGCCTCTGATGCAGCTGTCTCCCACTATGGTCTTAGGAAATTCCTGGAACGTTATTAGAGTGAGTTTTTCCTAGATCTGCTTACTGAATACCTGTTGAACTTTCACACTGATGGCCAGTTCCAAGACTTAAGCATGACCTTGCGACCATTGGTGATAGTGCTTTCTTGATCTGCTGAATCAAATTGAAGCAGAACTGGGGGTACTACTAGGAATGAGGGGTGACTAGGGATGGGGCTGGGGCGAGGGGTATATTGGGTAACTGAGGATGACCAGTGTCAGAGAGCACAAAGATGATGGTGAAGGGCAGGTAGACCACCTCCCACTTGGTGGGAAAGTCTGTTCCTGGCTGGAACTGGTTCATTCATTCCAAGCCAGCAACAGCTCCAGGTTTGGACGCCATTTATGAATCTACATGCCACCAGACCAGTCCCTGTCTTCCACACACCCCACTCTCTGGAGTCTGGAAAAATGGCGGGGGTGGGGCTAGCTACTAGTTTTTGTTTTTTTTTTTCTTTTTGAGACACAGTTTCATTCTGTCATCCAGGCTGGAGTGCAGTGGCATGATCTCAGCTCACTGCAACCTCCGCCTCCCAGGTTCAAGCGATTCTCGTGCCTTAGCTTTCAGAGTAGCTGGGACTACAGGTGCACACCATCACAGCTGACTAATTTTTCTTTTCTTTTTTTTTTTTTGAGACGGAGTCTCACTCTGTCTCCCAGGCTGGAGTGCAGTGATGTGATCTCAGCTCACTGCAACCTACGTCTCCAGGGTTCATGTGAGTTTCCTGCCTCAGCCTCCTGAGTGAGTAGCTGGGATTACAGGCGCCTGCCACCACGTCCAGCTAATTTTTGTATTTTTAGTAGAGATTGGGTTTCACCATGTTGGCCAGGCTGGTCTCCAACTCCTGACCTCAAGTGATCCACCTGCCTCGGCCTCCCAAATCGCTGGGATTACAGGCGTGAGTCATCATGCCTGGCCTTTTTTTTTTTTTTGTGAGACAGAGTTTTGCTCTTGTCACCCAGGCTGGAGTGTAATGGCATGATCTCGGCTCACTGAAACCTCTGCCAGGCACACGTCACCATGCCCGGCTAATTTTTGTATTTTTGGTAGAAACGGGGTTTCACCATGTTGGCCAGGCTGGTCTCCAACTCCTGACCTCAAGTGATCCTCCTGCCTTGGCCTCCCAAAGTGCTGGGATTACAGGTGTTAGCTACCAAGTCTGGCCTTTTTTTTTTTTTTTTTTTTTTTTTTTTTTTGAGACAGAGTTTCGCTCTTGTCACCCAGGCTGGAGTGTAATAGTGTGATTCCAGCTTACTGCAACCTCTGCCTCTCGGGTTCAAGCCATTCTCCTGCCTCAGCCTCCTGAGCAGCTGGGATTACAGGCACACGCCAGCATGCCTGGCTAATTTTTATATTTTTAGTAGAGACGGGGTTTCACCATGTTGGCCAGGCTGGTCTCGAACTCCTGACCTCAGGTGATCCATCTGCCTCAGCCTCCCAAACTGCTGGGATGACAGGCGTGAGCCACCACGCCAGGCCCTATTTTTATTTTTAACCAGTGCTGTAGTTTGAATATTTGTCTCCTCCAAAACTCATCTGGAAACATCCCCAATGTGGCAATATTGAGAGATGGCGCCTTTAAAAGGTGACTGGGTCATGAAGGCTCTGCCCAGTGAGACTGGTGCCTTTATAAGAAGAGGAAGAGAGACCTGAGCTACCATGCTCAAGTCCCTCACCACGTGAGGCCCTCTGCCACCTTGGGTCTCTGCAGAGAGTTCCCAGGAACAAGAAGTCTCTCACCAGATGTGGACCCTGTACCTTGGACTTCTCAGTCTCCACTATTGTAAGAAATAAATTCCTTTTCTTTATAAATGACCCAGTTTCAGGTATTCTGTTCTATGCAACACAAAATGGACTAAGACAACGAGTACGCTTAGTTGTTGCTTCCTGAGTTCCAAAGTCCGACAGACAGAGCAGGTCCTCCATTCTTGCCCCTTTTTACCCCAAATGCTCATTGGCATTCTTGCAGCTACGAGTAATAATTAAAAGTGGCTAAGCCAGGCTGGCATGGTTGCTCACGCCTGTAATATCAGCACTTTGGGAGGCTGAGGCAGGAGGATCACTTGAACCCAGGAGTGAGACCAGCCAGGGCAACATAGCAACACCCTGTCTCTAATTATTATTATTTTTTTAAGTGAGTAAGCCAAATAGGGGTTTACTTTTCATCTAGAACAAGAAGACGTGTTGGCCAGGCTGGTCTCAAACTACTGGGCTCAAGTGATCCACCCACCTCAGCCTCCCAAAGTGTTGGGATTATGCGTGAGCCACCGCACCTGGCCACAAGACCCAATTTCTTTTATTTTATCTTTTTTTTTTTTTTTTTAAGAGATAGGGCATCTAACGGCATTGTTTTAGCTGCTCAACACTTTTTTTTTTTTGCTTATTTTTGTTTGTTTTGTTTGTTTTTGAGACAGGGTCTCCCTCTGTTGCCCAGCATATAGTGCAGTGGCATGATCATGGCTCACTGCAGCCTCAACCTCCCAGGATCAGGCAATCCTCCTGCTTCAGCTTCCTGAGTAGCTGAGACCACAGGTGCACACCAATATACCTAATTTTTTTTTTTTTGAGATGGAGTTTCACTCTTGTTGCCCAGGCTGGAGTGCAATGGCGTGGTCTCAGCTCACTGCAACCTCTGCCTCCCTGGTTCAAGCGATTCTCCTGTCTCAGCCTGCCGAGTAGCTGGGGTTACAGGCATAAGCCACTACGCCCAGCTAATTTTGTATTTTTAGTAGAGACAGGGTTTCTCCATGTTGGTCAGGCTGGTCTCGAACTCCTGACCTCAGGTGATCCACCCACCTCAGCCTTCCAAAGTGCTGAGATTGCAGGTGTGAACCACTACGCCTGGCCACCTGACTAATTTTTAAGTTATTCACAGAGAACAGGTTTTGCAATGTTGCCCAGGCTGGTCTCAAACTCCTGGGCTCAAATGATCCTCCTCCCTCGGCCTCCCAAAGTGCTGGGGTTACAGGTGTGCCACTGTGCCTGGTCGGCTCACCACTTTCAGATCTGGCTCTCTTCACCTCTCTTTTATAGTCATAAGCTGATTAGCACAATTCTAGACATCCGCAGCTACATTTAAGGCAGGAAGGAGGTGGTAATAGACACTACCAGCCACATCTGTCCCTTTTAATCAGGATACCCTAGAAATCCTCAGCAGACTTTGAATTATGTGCCATTGGTGAAATGTCATATGATCATCCCTCTACAAGGCAACGAGGTAAAAAGAGAATTTAGTATTTCTAGCCTCTAGAGTGGAGATGAACAAAGAATAGGAATGGGCATTTGCTTAGGAAACCAACTGTGCCTTACAACATTTTTGCACTTTTTTCTGTAACATTTTGTGTTAAATCATATAAAAATGCTGATCCTAACAAATATGGTCAATGAGTCACACCATAATTCTCTAAGAACTCCAGTCCAAAAAGGTTAATCTTGCTTTTAAACTCCAGGCGCGGTGTTTCACAGCTGTAATTTTAGCACTTCGGGAGGCAGAGCAAGAGGATCACTTGAGGCCAGGAGTTGGAGACCAGCCTGGCAACATAGCAAGACCCCGTCTCTACAAAAAATAAAATTATCTGGGCCTGTTGGTGCACACCTGTAGTCCCAGCTACTCAGGAGGCTGAGGTGGGAGGATCACTTGAGCCTAGGAATTCGAGGCTGCAGTGAGCTGTGATTGCACCACTGCACTCCAGCCTGGGTGACAGAGGGAGAACCTATCTCCAAAACAAAACAAAATAAAAACAAAACAAAACTCCAAGCAGAGAAAGACTTGACGAGTCGGATGAGTCTGATGATTCCTAAAGGAAATCCTTTTTGAGATTCCAGGAGATTCCATCTCCTCAACAGAGTAATTGATTTTGAGCCTCCCACCTCCTGAATTAAGGCCCACCCATCCCTATCCTGCACTGAACTGTAGACTCTTTTTTACTTCCTTACAAAAGTTTATTCTTAAATGTACAACAGACTCCAAGACGACACTTTATTGTAGCTATAGGTGGCAAAAGATGTTATGGCAGAGAATCCAGATGTTTAAATAGGAATGGGGTCAAGGGTCACCGCCCCAAGCACGGATAACAAAATTTATTTTTTGCCAGATTTCTTTAATTCCACCTGTGACTGGTGAGGGCTGGTGGCGGGGTGGCTTTCACTTTTAGCTCCTCTTTTTGTTTCTGCTTGAACGTCCCATCTTCCTTACCCACCCCCTTGACCTGCTTCTTGAGCTTTCTCAGGGCTTCTTGCCACCTTTGCAGCTGTACATGGCACCTGCCATAGGGCTCTAATTTTAAACTGAGAAATTGAGAAAACAGGAAACTGACTCTTTTTGGGGGGAGAGTAAGACAAACAGGAAAAGGAAAATGAAGACGTGGTTGATACAGATCGTTGGATTTCAAAAGGAAAAGTCTACGGATAACCGAAAAAAATAAATATTTAGAAATGCATAGTCTTGGCTGGTTAAATAAGTATCCATGCTTGTTCTTGTGGCATAGTAGTTACGAGACATTTTTAGTTAAATGGAAAAATGTGAATTACTATAGTTTGAGTGATATGCTGCTTTCCAAATTAAAAGCAGCATAACAAAAACATTCCCCTAATACTCATAAATAATTCATTGAATTGGCAATAATTCACCTCCTAATGACTTCATATGAAGTATAAAGTAACTTCGATACATCAGAAGAAATCCTATCTTCTAATATAAGAAAGTAATATGATTACATTAAATGCGTCTCATATAAGTTATAAAAATGGTATCTATGAGTAAAGAAATGCTTGTGAACAAAAAAATTGATCTTATAAAGGTCAAACAGGCCAGGCGTGGTGGCTCACACCTGTAATCCCAGCACTTTGGGAGGCTGAGGTGGGCGGAGTACCTGAGGTCAGGAGTTCAAGACCAGCCTGGCCAACATGGTGATACCCTGTCTCTACAAAAATACAAAAAATTAGCTGGGCATGATGGTGGGTGCCTGTAATCTCAGCTACTCGGGAGGCAGAGGCGGGAGAATCGCTTGAACCCGGGAGGCGGAGGTTGCAGTGAACTGAGATTGAGCCACAACAACCAAGCCTGGGAGACAGAGGAAACTCTGTCTCAAAAAATAAAAAATAAAAATTAAAATTAAAAAAAAGGTCAAACAAACCAAACCCTTCTGATTAATTTATTCAATCTACTTTTATTATAAGCAAATGAGAAATTATAATTTTAATCTGAAAAAGCAGAATCAGGGGATTTTGGAGCTGGACAGTCCCCTGGAAATTATTTGGATCAAAGCCCTCATTTTATAGGTGAAGAAACTGAGAAGTAAGATTTGAGCAAGCTGCCCAAAGGCTTTGCCAAAGGCTATACCAGTGAATGGCAGAGTCTGGACTGGAAGTCCCAGTGCTGCCGTCCAGGTGAGACCTGTTCCACTGCATGCTACTAGCTCCCGGGCTGAGACCGGACTTTTGCTTGGCAGGTTTCTTTCTTTCGAAACTATTAATTATTGTATTTTTTGTAGAGACAGGGTTTTGCCATGATGCCCAGGCTGGTCTTGAACTCCTGAGCTCAAGAGATCCACCCAGCTTGGCCTCTCAAAAATGTTGGGATTACAGGCATAAGCCACAGTGCCCGGCCCATTTTCCTCCCACCTCTTTGTTCCTTCTCTGTTTCTTTTGCAGCATTATGTTCTATCATTGTATACCAGAGTTCCTCAACTTCAGTTATAGTCTGTTCTTGCTTTATGCTATCTTCTTCAGCAAGCTCATCTTGGTCTGTTTTCCTCCTTATCAGGCATACCCCAGAAACTCCTGTTTTATCTCCACCTCAACTAAACATTTTCCTGAGTTCTGGGCCTCTATAAACTAATTATTTGATTAACATCTTTTTTTTTTTTTTCTGAGATAGAGTCTCTCTCTGTCACCCAGGCTGGAGTGCAGTGGTGCAATCTCAGATCACTGCAGCTTCTGCCTCCCAGATTCAAGCGATTCTCCTGCCTCAGCCTCCTAAGTAGCTGGGATTATAGGCATGCACCACCGCACACAGCTAATTTTTGTACTTTTAGTAGAGACGGGGTTTCACCATGTTGGTCAGGCTGGTCTCAAACTCCTGATCTGAAGTGATCTGACTGCCTCAGCTTCCCAAAGTGCTGGGATTACAAGCCTGAGCCACCATGCCTGGCCAACATCTTTAATTGGATATCTCAGTATCAAGAAGGCCCATAATATTCCTCTGCCTCATCCCTCTCCTCAGTCCTCTTCTTGTGTTTCCTAGTTCAGAGAATGGCACCATTCTCTATCAAGCTGCGCAAATCAGACATGTGTGATTTTTTGTTGTTGTTGAGACAGGGACTCACTCTGTCACCCAGGCTAGAGTGCAGTGGCGTGATCATGGCGCACTGAAGCCTCAAACTCCTGGGCTCAGGAGATCCTCCCGCCTCAGCCTCCTGAGTAGCTGGGACCACAGGCCCACACCACCATGCCCAGCTAATTTTGTATTCTTTGTAGAGATGGGGTTTCATCATGTTTGCCCAGGCTGGTCTCGAACTCCTGGACTCAAGCAATCCACCCACCTCAGCCTCCCAAAGTGCTGGGATTACAGGCATGAGCCACTGTGCCCAGCTGAAGTGTGATCCTTAACTTCACCCCTTCTCATGCCCTCCATTTCCAATCCATCTCCAGTCCAGTTGACTCCAGCTACTCAATTATTTCCACTTATCTCATTCCACTACCTTTGAAGCTACCACCATCTCTAACTACAGTCATCTCCCAACTAACTGGTCTCCTGGCATCTCTCTGGTTCTCCTCCACTAATTTCAAAAAAAGAAATTTACTGTGACAGTGCTCACAACACTCCCCCTTGCTCTTACTAAAGATGCTTACCATAGCCTCCAGGTATTGTATGGCCTGAGGTCTATCTACATTTCCAGGTGCAGGACACACCATGTCTCCCCACTCCCAAATTTAGTCTCCAGACTCCATCCTTTTTACAGTTCTTTAAAAGCATCACAATTCCTCCAACCACTAGGCATTTGTATGTGCTATTCCCTCTTTCCAGAATGCAATACCCTCCCTCTGCCTAGCTAGCTAACTTCTATGTATCTATGACTGCAGCTCAAACTTTCCTCATGGACTCCCTCCACAAGTGCCAAGCCTGGGCCAGATTCTTTTGTTATGTGCTCACAGAACGATGTTCCCTTTAGCATTCATTGAGTTTGCTGTTTAATTATTCTTGTCTTGTTTTTGTTTAATTAGTCCTATCTCTAATACTAGACAAATGTTCCTTAAGATCACAGGAAATATAGGACTGTCTCTACATAAAAACTGTTTTATATCCATAATGCCTAGGACAGTACCTGGCACACAGTATATGCTCAATAAATTTTTGTTGAATGAATGCAATTATCATTATATTCCTGATATTAGCAGGTATAATCCAGTTTAAGTTTGGGAACAGAAAGACAAAACGGACCACATCTAATAAATCCGGTCTCCTTTCTTTTATTATTTATTTATTTGAGACAGTTTTGCTCTTGTTGCCCAGGCTGCAGTGCAATGGCATGATCTTGGCTCACTGAAACCTCCGCCTCCCAAGTTCAAGGGATTCTCCAGCCTCAGCCTCCCAAGTAGCTGGGATTACAGGCATCCACCACCACGCCCAGCTAATTTTTTTGTATTTTTAGTAGAGATGGGGTTTCACCATGTTGGCCAGGCTGGTCTCGAACTCCTGACCTCAGGTGATCCACCCACCTCAGCCTCCCAAAGTGTTGGGATTACAGGCGTGAGCCACCGTGCCCGGCCAAGGTCTCCTTTCTTTTAATCAAACTCTCACCTTTGGCCATTCTGCAGTCATTCACCCGACAGTATTTACTGACGGAGTGAATACAGAGTGCTTGATTAATGTTGCTGCTTTGTTATTATTATTATTATTATTGAGATGGAGTCTTGCTCTGTTGCCCAGGCTGGAGTGCAGTGGCGTGATCTCGGCTCACTGCAACCTCCGCCTCCCGGGTTCAAGCCATTCTCCTGCCTCAGCCTCCCAAGTAGCTGGGACTACAGGCATGCAACACCACACCTGGCTAATTTTTGTATTTTTAGTAGAGACAAGGTTTCACCATATTGGCCAGGCTGGTCTTGAACTCCTGACCTCAGGTGATCTGCCCACCTCAGCTTCCCAAAGTGCTGGGATTACAGGCGTGAGCCACCATACCCAACCTAATGTTTCTGCTTTGAAATACAATTTCAAAAAGTCATTAATAGGTTGAAAACAGCAAGATTTTAAAAGTATTTTAAAAAGTGAAACAGAAGAATGCTTACTTCATTTCACAGAGATAGATTTCTCCTTTATGTTATTTCTAAAAGGAGATGGAATTTTGTTTCATTCATTTCTGCTTATTTGGACAGGCCAAATATGAACAGCTGAACACGTCAGCGTTACCATGCATATGTTACACAGATGCCATCCTTCTTCCATCAGCTCTCATATGCAATACAGAAGTAAAAAGAGGTTCTCTTTATTTTTAAAAGGTAAAAATTGAAATTCAGTCACTTAACACAGAATAAACAATAATTACAATTACACTGGTAACAAAGGACAGCAAGCATGTTTTCTTTGAAAGCACTGTATCTGGTTTGTCTCCGTGCTTGGTCCTAGTATCTGGCATATTTTCCCCAGAGTTTTCTTTTCAGTGGGATGATTATCTTCGGGGCAAAAAAGTTTATCAGACTCAAGTTTTAGCAGTACTTATTTTATTCATTTATATACATGTAACCCCATCCTGTCTTACTCCAATCTTCTTACTGCCTTCCTACTGACACATATATTATATAACACCCTCCCCAAGTTCTATTTACGGTTAAAAATTTCTTTTTTTTTTTCTTTTTTTGAGACAGAGTTTCACTCTCGTCACCCAGGCTGGTGTGCAATGGCGCAGTCTCGGCTCACTGCAACCTCCGACTCCCTGGTTCAAGTGATTCTCCTGTCTCAGCCTCCCGAGTAGCTGGAATTACAGGCGCCCGCCACCATGCCCAGCTAATTTTTGTATTTTTAGTAGAGACAGTGTTTCGCCATGTTGGCCAGGCTGGTCTCAAACTCCTGACCTCAGGTGATCCACCCGCCTTGGCCTCTCAAAGTGCTGGGATTATAGGCGTAAGCCACTGCGCCCAGCCTACAGTTACGAATTTCTAAATGGCACAAATAAACTCAGCTGTTCTCAGTGCAGACGTCAAATCCTCACTGTGCTGAAACATTTTCCTCAGCTTTTGGGAAATAATTACAATTTAAACATACACAGAGAATGTTTCTTAGACAAACATAATACCCGAGGCTTATCTGGTAAAAACTAATTGCTCTGTCCTTAGCACAAAAAATATATATCTTTGTAAAATGAGAAGAACCAAAGAATATTTAAAACAAAGAAGGAAGCCACACGTACTAATTACACAAGAGACTGACTGACAAACTGGAATTCTCCAAAACAGATTTTCAGCGAGGCTTCTCATTTCAGAGTCCAGGAAAAAAAAATCCTAAAAACCCCAAAGGTATATTATATGTGTGTATATATATTTTTATTGTGTTAAAAAACACAAAACATAAAATTTACTGTCTTATCAAAAGGTATATTTTGTCGCTCTTCCCTTTTTTTTTTTTTTTTTTTCCCGAGACAGAGTCCAGTCTGTCGCCCAGGCTGAAGTGCAGTGGCATGATCTCGGCTCACTGCAACCTGCATCTTCTGGGCTCAAGCAATCCTCCCACCTCAGCCTCCTGAGTAGATGGAGCTACAGGCACGTGCCACTAGGCCCGGCTAATTTTTGTATTTTTTGCAGACAGGGTTTTGCCATGTTGCCCGGGCTGGTCTTTGTTCTCCTAAGAGTTGTTTTCTCCATGAAAGTTGATAAATAACATTTAGAAAATGAATTATTACAAGAGTAATGATATGTCTCAATTTATTATATGAAATTATCAACAACTGCTTTTAATATTCAGATGTCAAGAAGATGAAAAGCAGAAATACATTTTGCAAACATGTAGCACTCCATAAATGGAAATCATGTATTTCCTCTAATATCCCAATTTTTCTATATTGGGATCTTATATGGCTGTTTCTATATGGCTATTTTGTCCCAACTTGCTGTACAAGAATTTTCCCCAGCCACCTTAGAAAGGTTGGATGTAGTTCACTCCAAGTTTGCAGTTCACTCCAAGTGTTTCAGTACCACAGAAAGCTCCATGGAAGCCTCAAATGTACGGGCTAGGCAATAGAAGCAGGGAGGTAGGATTAAGAAATTACTGGCCAGGTGTGGTGGCTCAGGCCTGTAATCCCAGCACTTCGAGAGGCTGAGGCAGACAGATGGCTTGAGCTCAAGAGTTTGAGATCAGCCTGAGCAACATGGCAAAACTCTGTCTCTACAAAAAATATAAAAATCAGCCAGGTATGTTGGTGTGCACCTGTAGTCCCAGCTACTGGGGAGGTTGAGGCAGGAGGATTGCTTGAGCCCAGGAGGCTGAGGCTGCAGTGAGCCATGATTGTGCCACTGCATTCCAGCCTGGTCGACTGTAAGACAAAAAATAAGAAAATAAAAAATTTACCAATATAAAATGCTCAAACAGCTAACAAACATGTTCAATTCCATTTATAGTCTTTTCTTTGAGCCATTTAAACATAGGGCTATTTTTTTTTTTTTTTTTTGAGATGGAGTTTCACTCTTGTTGCCCAGGCTGGAGAGCAATGGCATGATCTCGGCTCACCACAACCTCTGCCTCCTGGGTTCAAGCGATTCTCCTGCCTCAGCCTCCCGAGCAGCTGGGATTACAGGCATGTGCCACCATGCCTGGCTAATTTTGTATTTTTAGTAGAGACGGGATTCCTCCATGTTGGTCAGACTGGTCTTGAACTCCCAACCTCAGGTGATCTGCCTGCCTCAACCTTCCAAAGTGCTGGGATTACAGGTGTGAGCCACTGAGATTGGCTGCCGTTTTGTTTTTTAACTCCATATAGTTTCTATAGTTCACTGAAAACTCAAAGAGATGACCTATAAATGTATGAATAATGTATGATTTCTTACATCAATTTTCTACTAGAAAAAAATCATACTTTTAGAATTGGATTTTGTCTTACAGTCATCTTTATTATACTTTATAAATGAGATTTCATTTATATAAATCAGGAAGCTAAACTAAAATAGAAACACTAGATTTAAATTCTGATTTGAATACTCTGATCAAAATAACAAATCTCACACTGGGAAACCATCTATCAGCAAGCAGAGAGCTACTGTGTGTCCTTCCTTAGAAGAGTTTGAACACCGAGAACCCACAGCATATTTGCAGTACAGTAACAGCAATTCCTTTGTCATTATCACAGAACTTTAATTTTCATATACTTTGCTGGGACCAACCAAACCATCCCATATATATAACCATATCCATATATATATATATATATATCCCACATATATATGGGATGGTATATATATACACATGTATATGTATGTGTGTGTGTATATATGTGTATATATGTATACACACACACACACACACATATATATATATATACACACACACACATATATATATGGAGAGAGAGAGAGAGACAGTGTCTTGCTCTGTCGCCCAGGCTGGAGTGCAGTGGTACGATCTTGGCTCATTGCAACCTCCGCCTCCCAGGCTCAAGCGATTCTCATGTCTCAGTCTCCCAAGTAGCTGGGATTACAGGTGTGCACCACCACACCAGGCTAACCATTCCATACATTTTATACAATCATTTTTAAAAAGAAGCATGAACCATTTCGGTTTTAGAGAATTAAGTTTTTTTAAAAAAGAGACTCTTAAAAAAAAGTCATTATATGAATAAAATCTGCTTTGTGTTAATTCCGACAAATCATTCCATCATTGAGTCTGTCACCAATTTTTTTTTTTTGAAATGGAGTTTCGCTCTTGTTGCCCAGGCTGGAGTGCAATGGTACGATCTCGGCTCACTGCAACCGCCGCCTCCCGGGTTCAAGTGATTCTCCTGCCTCAGCCTCCCGAGTAGCTGGGATTACAGGCATGCGCCACCACGCCTGGCTAATTTTGTATTATTAGTTGAGACAGGGTTTCTCCATGTTGGTCAGGCTGGTCTCGAACTCCTGACCTCAAGTGATCCGCTGGCCTTGGCCTCCCAAAGTGCTGGGATTACAGGCGTGAGCCACCGTGCCTGGCCCAATTTTTTTTTTTTAATAACTTGCACACTTAACAATATTTTTTATCTTCTTGGGACAACATTCTTTTCTCCACAAAAACCCAATTAAGGACGTTGTGCCAGTTTACTCCTACTTCCTTCCTGTTCACTGAGCTTAAAGTGGGTATAGGCGAGAATGCCAAATAATGTACATAAAATGCCAAGGGCCTGATTAATGGACAGTGGATCCTTAAATAAAACATATCCTCCGAATAAAGTAATGCAGAACTTGAAGTGTCCGAACATGTTATAGCTGAGGTTTTTGGATAAGGATAAAAAGGAATAACAAGATAGATGTTAATATTTACACACACACTCGCACTGCATAAAACAACCCAAAAGCAGCCCATCAGATGTAAAGAACAATGGGACCAGGCGTGGTGGATCATGCCTGTAATCCCAGCACTTTGGGAAGCTGAGGTGGTGGATCACTTGAGGCTGGGAATTTGAGACCAGCCTGGCCATCATGGTGAAACCTTGTCTCTACAAAAAATACAAAAATTAGCTGGGCGTGGTGGCACATGCCTTCAATCCCAGCTACTTGGGAGCCTGAGGCATGAGAATCACTTAAACCCAGGAGGTGGAGGTTGCAGTGAGCCAAGAATGCACAACTGCACTCTAGTCCAGGCGACAGAACAAGACTGTCTAAAAAAAGAGAATAATGGGAACTTCTTAGTTTCTTCAGGTAGGTTTTAGCGATTGATTCATCAGAGACACAAGACTGCCTCAACCATTCCTACTGACCTCCAAAAAAGAAAAGGGATACAATATAAAAGGAAAGACCTTCAAACAAGGTCCAGGGAAGGTATTTTGTACAGCAATTTATAATTATGTTTTACAGTGGTGTTTCCTTGGGAAATGAAGTGAGATATGTAAGGTACCAAAGAGCTAACTTGAGTTAAGGAGGGAAAAGAGGGAGGGGGAGAGGGAGTAATACTGAGCACCAACTATACACCAAACATCATGCTGGGCGATTTACATGAAATCGTCGAAGTTAGGCATCACGTTTACCTTCACTGCAGGCTCACTCTTCCTATTTACGGTTGTAGAGGCTCAGAGATTTTAAGTAACATGCCCCAGATTACAGAGCTATTAAGTAGCAGAGGTGGAGTCCAAACATGAATGGGTCTATTTAACTTGAAAGCCCACGTTCTAATCCAAAATACTGCCAGTAACATGCCACTGGATTAAGATTTTTCCAAATCATTGTTCATTTAAAAAGCAAACTAAATACACACACACACCATTTAAAAATTACTTGTGGCCAGGCACGGTGGCTCACGCCTCTAATCCTAATCCCAGCACTTTGGGAGGCCAAGGGGCGTGGATCACCTGAGGTCAGGAGTTCGAGACCTGCTTGACCAACATGGAGAAACCCTGTCTCTACTAATAGTACAAAATTAGCCGGGCGTGGTGGTGCATGCCTGTAATACCGGCTACTCGGGAGGCTGAGGCAGGAGAATCGCTTGAACCTGGGAGGCGGAGGTTGCAGTGAGCCGAGATCACACCATTGCACTCCAGCCTGGGCAACAAGAGCGAAACTCCATCACACAGACACAGACACAGACACAGACACACACACACACACACAATTACTTATATTTAAATATAACTATTTTTTCTATATAAATGAGTACTCTCTTGTTCTTCAGATGTATGATGTTTGCCTATGTGCTTTTCCTAACTACAACACTAGAAACAGCCACCACTCTGTGCATTAGTTTCCTCACTATATAAAAGGGGTTTACCTCCCACGGTTATTGTAAGGATTAAATAAGTTAATATACACAAAGCTTCTAGCATATAGTAAGCACCATATGTGCTAGCTATAATAACATTACCAACAGCAGTACTTATGTATCATAAACACCTGCTTGGTGCTTGACACATTCTCTCAAATACAACCACCCAACATCATAGATCGTACTTCCTCCACTTCATACATTTCATAAGTGATCAGAGTGAGACCCTGAGAGTTCCCACACTAGTCAGGCCCACAGAGAGTGGCAGAGCTCAGTGTTCACACCTGGACCTGTCTGACCTCCAAGCCCACCTAAGCAGCCTGGAGGTTCCCGCTGGGCAGCAGCAGTGCCTCAGGAGAGCACAGGCTGCGTCACCAGGGGCATATGGTGGCTTGATCCCATGAAGGTGACTTCCTGAGACACAGAGGATCTTCCCAAGGTTGTTGGCAATAGTCATAATGTTTTATTTTCAATTATGAGCTATCTTCATGTGCACTGGCTCTAACACTTTAAATTTCTTTACTCCTCAGCTTCTCTTTTAAGTATATTTATACGAGAAGGAAGTCAAATTTAAAGAAACTATTTATGAATCCTTTTGTAAAAGCAACAACAAAAGAGCAGTCTACATGTGGTATTTCCAGTTCTGCACTTTACTCCAGGCAGGCTGTCACCCCAACCCCAACCCACTTTACTCCAGGCAGAATGTTCTGGTCAAACCCAGTGCCCTCCACCTCACTCAGTCCCTCAATGGTGACCAGTCTCCTTGAACTTGGCCTGCCAGCGGCATCTGACACAGACACCGACCCCGCCTCCTCCTCCTTCCTCTGGTTCTGTGCCAGTCTCCTCCTTCCTTCCACCTCTGACTGCTCCTTCTCATCCTCCACCTAGTTTCTCATCTCTCTGAATTCCAAATACTGGACTCAAACCCAACACTCAGTCTTTGGACTTATTTTCTTCTACTTGTCTGCTTGGTAATCTCAACTAGTCTCATCACTTTAAACCACAGCTTCATACTGCTCACTCCCTGTGATGCCTCCTGCTGAGACGTCACCTTTGAACCCTGACTTGTTTATCCAAAACTGAGCACCTGGCTGGGCACGGTGGCTCACACCTGTAATCCCAGCACTTTGGAAGGCTGAGGTGGGAAGAATGCTTGAGCCCAACAGTTTGAGGTTGCAGTGAACCATGATCGCGCCACTTCACTCCAGCCTGGGTGACAGAGCAAGACCCTGTCTCAAAAACAACAACAACAAAATACTCCCCGAACTGAGCACCTTATCTTCCTCCCCAGCCCCAAACCTCCTTCTGGGTATCCTATCTTAGTTGATGGCAACTCCATTCTACCAGGTGCTCAGGTCAAAAACCATGTAAATCAGCCTTGTTTTCTCTTTCTCCACATCCAACTCGGCAGCAAAACCTGTTGGCTCTTCTTAGAAATATTTCCAGAATCCAATCACTTCTTACTATATCCACTGCTATCATACTGGTAGCCACTATTACTTCTAAATTAGAATATCGTAGCAGTCTCCTGAGTTTCCTGTGCCTCTTTCAGTCCAGTAGTTCTCAACCATGGGTGATTCTGCTTTGTGGGCAATCTTTGGAGGCATTTTTGGTTGTCACAACTGGGCAAAGGGTATGTATGCTACTGGCATCTGGTGGTAGAGCCCAGGCCTGCTGAAAACATCCTACAGTGTACTAAACAGGCCTGCACTAAGAACCGTCTAGCCCAAAAAGTCAACAGCCCAGAGGTTGAGAAATCCTTCTTAAGTCTATTCTCAACACAGGAGTCCTGAGTGATTCTATGATTTATTTTATTTTAAAAAACTTTTTGTAGAGACAGGGTCTTACTATGTTGCCCAGACTGGTCTCGAACTCCTGGGCTCAAGGGATCCTCCTGTCTTGGCCTTCCAAAGTGTTGGAATGACAGGTGTGCCATTGTGCCCGGCCCACTGAGTGCTTCTATTAGAATGTATGTAAAATCATGTTACTTCTCTGCTCAAAATGCTAATGGCTTCCCATCTTACTCAGTTTAATAGTCCTTACATAAACGCCCTACTCAATTCAGTTCTGTGTTACTTCTCAGCCTACCACATTCCCTCCTTTGCTCAACCTGCTCTAACCACACAGGCTTCCTTGGTTTTTTTACGGCCTCGCACCTGCTGTTGCCTCTGCCTGGAATGTTCTTTCCTCCTGATCTGCATGGAGCAACTGCATTTCCTTCAGGTCTTTACTCAAATGTCGTCTTCCCACTGATGCCTTCCTGACTAGCCCTGCCTAGAACTTCAATGCTGTCTATGACATTTCACATTCTCTTCCCCGCTTTATTTTTACTCCTTGGCAGTTAACACTATCCAACACTGTATATAAATATTTAATTGTTTTCTATTTCTAGTCTTCCTCACCAGAATTCAAGCCTGTGAGAGCAAAGACTTTTGTCTATGTGGTTCATTACTGTATCCCCTGTGCCTGGCACACAGTAGATGTTCAGTATATAAATATTTTTATATCAATGACTGGTTTAGTGGGTATTCAATAAATACTTATTGAATAAATTAATGTTTTAAATCAGAGCACATATTTGGATGCCTTGATTGGGTAGTATGATGTACAAATTTGGGGACTAGACTGCATGGGTTCAAATCTGGACATCCCATTTGTCAGCTGTGTGCCTTAAGTGAGTTGGTTAACCTCTCTGTGCCTCTATTTTTTCTATAAACAAAAATGACAGACTTTACCTCACAGAGCTGCTGTGAGAATTAAATGGACTAATACATACAAAATGTTTCTAACAGTGTCTGACACAAAATAAATATTTGTTAAGTATTGGTTTTCTAAAAAACTTATCGTTGTTGTTTTTTATTGATAGTTGGCAAATATCCTACTTGTTTACTTCCTGGGGAAATTCATTTGTTGCATTTGCCTAAGGGTGGGGGCAGAGTGAAATGTGAAGAGAAACAGGATGACAAGCAGAATGGTACAAATGGACAGTTGAATTTGACCTTTAACATATAACTTCATTTCTATTTTTTCTTTTTTTGGTAGAGATAGGTTCTCCCTATGTTGCCCAGGCTGGTCTCGAACTCTTGGGCTCAAGCGATCCTCCTGCCTCGGCCTCCCACAGTGTTGGAATTACAGGCGTGAGCCATGGCACCCGGCCAATGACTTCATTTCTTGACTTGAAATAATATTGAGAAAAACAGGCACACCCATATCCAAATAAGTACAAACACATACTCCATAGCCAGATGCCAGTGGCCTGAAATTATCTTTTGTTATTTGTTAACCATTCCTCTACTTTGTTACTAGAAATACCTGAAAATTGTTTGAAAATCCAAACCTCCACCTCACTATTCATTCAAAAAATATTTAATCTCACTGTCTGTAAGAAATGGTACTCTGAGTTAATTTTTGTAAGGGAAAAGGTCACCTATTACATAAGAAAATTCAGAAACATTCATGACACAAAAAGCTAACCCACTTCCTCAGTTCATATTTCTTTTTTTTTTTTTTTAAGACAGAGTCTTGCTCTGTTGCCCAGGCTGGAGTACAGTGGCACAATCTCAGCTCACTGTAACCTCCGACTCCCCAGTTCAAGCAATTCTTGTGCCTCAGCCTCCTGAGTAGCTGGGATTACAGGCGTGCACCACCTTACCCAGCTAATTTATATATTTTTTGTAGAGACGGGGTTTCACCATGTTATCCAGGCTGGTCTTGAACTCCTGGCCTTAAGCGATTCACCCGCCTCGGCCTCCTGAAGTGTTGGGATTACAGGTGTGAGCCACCACACTTGCCCCTTCAGTTCATATTTCTTTAAAATCCTTTAGTGGGTAAAGATACAGTAAAAGGCTAAAAATAACTCTCTCTACTCAATTTAGGCCATGCAATAGTTAGTGTGAGATTCAAATAAGGTAATGAATGTAAAAGTTTTGGAAAATATAAAAGACGATGCATTTCTAAGTTATATGAAAAGGATACGTGACAGGTGAAGTGTTCCCAATGATCCAATAAATTGATAAGTTCACCATGAAAGCTATTACTCCAGATAGCAGCACCATAAGCTACAAATAAACCAAAAGAACCATTAATGCAAAGCACTGCAATCATAATCATCAAGCAAAGATACATTTCATTCGGCATTTTAAAAAATTCAAATATCAACCATTAATAAATAAGATTAGAAAGAGAGGGCCGGGCGCGGTGGCTCACGCCTGTAATCCCAGCACTTTGGGAGGCCAAGGCGGGCGGATCACGAGGTCAGGAGATCGAGACCATGGTGAAACCCCATCTCTACTAAAAATATAAAAAATTTGCTGGGCGCAGTGGCGGGCGCCTGTAGTCCCAGCTACTTGGGAGGCTGAGGCAGGAGAATGGCATGAACCTGGAAGGTGGAGCTTGCAGTGAGCCGAGATCACGCCACTGCACTCCAGCCTGGGCGACAGAGTAAGACTCCATCTCAAAAAAAAAAAAAAAAAAAAAAAAAAAAAAGAAAGAGAATTTGGGGTTGGGAGACAGTAAGAATTGCAAGTAAAAAAGCAGAATGAACCGTGTTTAGAAAAAACGTAATTTTTTCCACAAGAATCAACGAAAAATACTGCAATAACATCCTTTCTGTGATTGTGAATTTCCAGGTTCATTTTTCTTATTAATCTAAAGAAAAAGTATACATATGCATTATTATTATTGTACATCAGACAATAAAGAAAAGCAAAAAGAATATAAGGAATTCTTATAATCCCAACCACCCACACATTAACATCTCGGCATACCTCCTTCGAGATCTTTTTCTTTTTTTTTTGAGACGGAGTTTCACTCTGTCACCCAGGCTGGAGTGCAGTGGCACGATCTGGGCTCACTGCAACCTCCACCCTCCAGATTCAAATGATTCTCCTTCCTCATTCTCCTGAGTAGCTGGGACTACAGGCGCCTGCCACTGCGCCCGGCTAATTTTTTGTATTTTTAGTAGAGATGGGTTTCACCATCTTGGCCAGGCTGGTCTTGAACTCCTGACCTCATGATCCACCCACCTCGGCCTCCCAAAGTGCTGGGATTACAGGCGTGAGCCACTGCACCCGGCCGAGATCTTTTTCTATTAAATTGCTCATTTTTATTCTTTTTTTTTTTTTGAGATGGAGTCTCATTCTGTCGCCTAGTCTAGAGTGCAGTGGTGCAATCTTGACTCACTGCAACTTCTGCCTCCCAGGTTCAAGTGATTCTTCTGCCTCAGCCTCCCCAGTAGCTGGGATTACAGGCCCATGCCACCACACCCACCTAATTTTTTTTGAATTTTTTGGTAGAGATGGGGTTTCACCATGTTGGCCAGGCTGGTCTCGAACTCCTGACCTCAGGTGATCTGCACCCCTTGGCCTCCCAAAGTGCTGGGATTACAGGCCTGAGCCACTGCACCTGGCCTCATTTTTATTCTTATTTAACTCAATAAGCATTCATTGGATATCTACAAAGTTAGGCCAGGCCTTCTGAGGAACGCAGTATGTACAAAGTTCCTGCCCTCAAAGAGCTTAGAAACTACTTGAGGACATAATAAAAATCATGATGATCACTGCTTACACTTACATAACACTTATTATGCACCAATAATTGTTCTGTTTTACATGTATTCACTTATTTAATTTTCACATACATCCACAAAGTAGTTGTAAAAATATTATTCCTTTTTATAGATAACTTGGCTGGGCACAGGGGGACAAATGGGTTGGACCACTATATACACATACAAAGTTCTGTTCAAATCTATCCCATAATTTTATCCAAAAAGTTATAGAATCATTTTGTTTCTGAATTTAGATAAAATGATATTCATGATATAAACTATTAAGAAGTTTAAGTTCCAAAGAAAACTTAAACTTGATACTTGGCACATCATTAAAAACACAATTACTCTACTTTGTTAGGGTCTTTGTTACGGACTTTGAAGAATATAAAGAAGCTAGTTCCACGTTGAAGAGGAGTGGTAAGAGTGGGCATCCTTGTCTTGTTCCAGTTCTCAGAGGGAATGCTTTCAACTTTTCCCCATTCAGTATTATGTTGGCTGAGGGTCTGTCATAGACGGCTTTTATTAAATTAAGGTATGTCCTTTGTATGCCGATTTTGCCAAGGGTTTTAATCATAAAGCGATGCTGAATTTTGTCAAATGCTCTTTCTGCATCTATTGAGATGATCATGCCATTATTTATTTATTTATTTATTTGGAGTCTCACTCTGTCGCCCAGGCTGGAGTGCAGTGGCACGATCTCGGCTCACTGCAAGCTCCGCCTCGCGGGTTCACGCCATTCTCCCGCCTCAGCGTCCCAAGTAGCTGAGACTACAGGCACCAGCCACCACGCCCAGCTAATTTTGTTTTTGTATTTTTAGTAGAGACGGGGTTTCACCGTGTTAGCCAGGATGGTCTCGGCTAGTCTCAATCTCCTGACTTCGTGATCCGCCCGCCCTGACCTCCCAAATTGCTGGGATTACAGGGGTGAGCCACTGCGCCTGGCCGATCATGTGATTTTTGTTTTTAATTCTGTTTACATAGTGTATCACATTTATTGACTTTTGTATGTTAAACCATCCCCACATCCCTGGTATGAAACCCACTTGATCATGGTGGATTATCTTTTTGATACGTCATTAGATTCAGTTAGCTAGTATTTTGTTAGGGATTTTAGCATCTATGTTCATCAAGGATATTGGTCTTTAGTTTTCTTTTTTGGTTGTGTCCTTTCCTGGTTTTGGTATTAGGGTAATGCTGGCTTCATATGGAAAAAAAAAAAAAAAGTTGAGTTGACACAATCCTCTACTTTGAGTCAAGGATGCCTCCTAGGGACATTAAGGAATGAAGATGACTTTCCTTCACACTAAATGGCCTCAGCCTGCTGTGGTCTTGGTTTCTTTGCCTTTTTTTTTTTTTTTTTTTAATGGCTTTTCTGCTGCTGTCCTCATTTTAAAACCTGTTAGAAGGCTACGAAAAAAATCCTCTCTCCTTGTAGTATAAGGTCTCTAGGCTGCAATGGTTTGAAACCAGATAACCAGGATGGCTAGGACTTTTGCAAAGTGGAAATATTATCTGATAGATGGTCCAATGACCTCTACTTTAGAAAAAAAGTGTATATGGTAAAATATATAAATTTGAAATAACTACTGGTCTACTTAGGGGAAGCAGAGCGGAGCACTGGAGAACACAGACTTTGGACCCAGAAGGCATGTATCCAAATTGTGTTTCTGCTTATTAGCTGTGGGATTGCGAGCCAGTTACTAACTCTTTATCTCTCGGTTTCCTCATCAGTAAAAATAATAACAATGGTAATATAGTTTGGATGTTTGTTCCCTCCAAATCTCATGTTGAAATTTGATCACCAATGTTGGAAGTGAGGCCTAGTAGAAGGTGTTTGGGTTATGGGGCTGGATCCCTCATGAATGGCTTGGTGCCCTCCCCAGGGTAATGAGTGAGTTCTTGCTCTATTAGTTCTCATGAGAGCTAGCTGTTTAAAAGAGACTGGCATTTCCTCCCCTCTCTCTCTTGCTCCCTCTCTCGCCATGTGACATGCCTGCTCCCCCTTCACCTTCCACCATGACTGTAAGCTTCCTGAGGCCCTCACTAGAAGTAGATGCCAGCACTAATGCTTCTTGTACTGTCTGCAGAACCATAAGCCAAAATAAACCTCTTTTCTTTATAAATTAGTCTCAGGTATGCTTTTATAACATCATAAAATGGACTAATACAAATAGTATTAGTATAGCATCAACCTAATAAAGTTATGAAGATTAAATAAGTTAATATTTACATAGTGCTTTGAATAGTGCTGGGAACAGACTAAGGGCTATATAGGTGCTTGATAAATTGATGCGACCAACAAAAAAGATATTCCCACTGACTGTGTTCCAAGAGTTGTGGGAACTCTTGTGGGAAGCAGGAATTCCTGATAAGTAAGGTATTATGGACTGAATGTTTGTGTCCCCCCAAAATTCCTATGTTGAAATCCTCACCCGCAAGGTGATGGTATTGGGAGGTGGGGCCTTTGGGAGGTGACTATGGCATAAGGGCAGAGCCTTCATGAATGGGATTAGTCCCTATGATAAGAAGAGATACAAGAGAGCTTGCTTCTCCTCTTCCTTGTTGTCAGATGAGGATATGGCAAGAAGACTGCCATCTATAAAGCAGGAAAAGAGCCTTCACCAAGAACCCAACCATACTGGCAGCCTGTTCTCAGACTTCCAGACTTCAGAACTGTGAGAAATGAGTATTTGTTGTTTAAGCCACCCAGTCCATTGTAGTTTTGTTATAGCAGCCTGAACTGACTAAGACATAGGAGGATTATACATTCTAACTTAAAATGTCCCCAACGCATTAGTCCTAGCTGCTTGGGAGGCTGAGGTTGGGGGGATCACTTGAGCTCAGGAGCTTGAGGCCAGCCTGGGCAACATAGCCAGACACTGTCTCTAAAAAATAAAAGTCCCCAAAATACATATGCCCTTGATTTGCCAATTCCACTCCTGGGACTCATTTCCATAGGAAAAAAGTTATCAGTACATGAGAACACATGATGTACAAGGATGTTTATCACAATATTGTTCATAGTGGTAAAGAACTGGGAAAAAAGTGAATATGCAGAGGGGCTATTACACAGACACCGGCTGGGCGCGGCGGCTCACGCCTGTAATCCCAGCACTTTGGGAGGCCGAGGTGGGTGGATCACTTGAGGTCAGGAGGTCAAGACCAGCCTGGCCAACATGGTGAAACCCTGTCTCTATCAAAAATACAAAAAAATTAGCCAGGCATGGTGGCGCACACCTCTAATTCCAGCTACTCGGGAGGCTGAGGCACAAGAATCACTTGAACCCAGGAGGTGGAGGTTGCAGTGAACAGAGATCACGCCACTGCACTATAGCCTGGGTGACAGAGTGAGACTCTGACTCAAAACAAAACAAAACAAAACAAAAACAACAACAACAACAAAATAGACCCTGGAAAGAATGCTTTGGAGAGATTTTTAGGAGATATTATTAAGTCAGAAAAGCAAGATACAGAAAAGCATATGTAATAGGATTCCACTTTTGTCAAAGAAACAGATGTGGCCGGACACGGTGGCTCATGACTGTAATCCCAGCACTTTGGGAGGCCGAGGCGGGTGGGTCACGAGGTCAAGAGATTGAGACCATCCTGGCCAAGATGGTGAAACCCCATCTCTACTGAAAATACAAAAATTAGCTGGGCGTGGTGGTGTGCGCCTATAGTCCCAGCTAGGGTCTGAGGCAGGAGAACCGCTTGAACCCGGGAGGCGGAGTTTGCAGTGAGCCAAGAATTGCACCACTGCACTCCAGCCTGGGCGACAGAGTGAGACTCCATCTCAAAAAAAAGAAAAGAAATAGATGTTTAATTGGGGTGTGTGTGTGTGTGTGTGTGTGTGTATGGATATATACGGCATGGAGAAAAATATGGAAGAACAAGCACTTAGAAAGTTAACATGACTTCAAGGGGCACGGATTAGGGGGTAATGGAATGTGGAAGATTAGGGGGTAATGGAATGTGGAAGAGTGTGTGGCTAGGAAGGCTGGGGAAAAGGAATCTGCAATAAAAACAGCATCTATGATATCATTCCATATCTAAAATTATACACACATGCATGTGTACCTATGTGTTTATACAAAAGAGATCCATGAAATGATCCTCACCAAAATGGTAAAGGTAATTACCTTAGTGTGATAGGGTTCCAGAGGCCCTTCACTTTCTTTTGTTGTTGTTGTTTTGGTTTGGTTTTTTTTTTTGAGACAGGGTCTCACTCTGTTGCCCAGGCTGAAATGCAGTGGTGCTATCTTGGCTCACTGCAGCCTCGACCTCCTGGGCTCAAGTGATCCTCCCACCCCAGCCTCCCAAGTAGCTGGGACTGCAGGCATGTGCCACCATGCCTGGCTTTTTTATTTATTTATTTTTTTTCTGAGACAGAGTCTTGCTCTGTGGCCCAGGCTGGAGTGCAGTGGCACAATCTTGGCTCATTGCAACCTCCACCTCCCAGGTTCAAGCAAATCTCATGCCTCAGCTTCCTGAGTAGCTGGGATTACAGGAAGCATGCCATCACACTTAGCTAATTCTTTTTTTTTTTTTTTTTGAGACAGGTGTGATCCCAGCTCACTGCACCTCCACCTCACGGGTTCAAGTGATTTTTGTGCCTCAGCCTCCTTGAGTAGCTGGGATTATAGGTGTGTGCCACCACGCCTGGCTTATTTTTGTATTTTTAGTAGAGACGGGGTTTTGCCATGTTGGCCAGGCTGGTCTTGAACTCCTGACCTCAGGTGATTTGCCTGCCTTGGTCTCCCAAAGTGCTGGGATTACAGGCATGAGCCACCGCACCCAGCCTCAGCTAATTTTTTTGTATTTTTAGTAGAGAATGGGTTTCGCCATGTTGGCCAGGCTGGTCTTGAACTCCTGACAAGTGATCCACCCGCCTCAGCCTCCCAAATTCCCAGGATTACAGGCATGAGCCACCACACCCTGCCCATTTCTTAATTTTTTGTAGAGATGAGGTCTTCCTATGTTGCCCAGGCTGGTCTAAAACTCCTGGGCTCAAACGATCTGCCCAGCTCATCCTCCCAAAGTGCTGGGATTACAGGAGTGAGCCACTGTGCCTGGCCCCTTCACTTTCTTTATATTTTTACGTATGTTCAAAATCGAAATAGTGATTATAAAGCTATGTTTTCATTGTAAAAAAATTTAACTTAATCTAAATGTCCAAATTATTTGTGGGCTCTAGCTTGACATGGTCAGAACAGTAACCAGGCATCGGAAGACATTAATTGTAGTTCTGCTTTTGCCACTGAGTAGCTGCCTCACTCTAGGCAAGTCCCTTCACCTTTGTGTACCTCAATTTCTTCATCTGAAAAAGAATCCTTACCTTACCTCCTTTTATGGTGATTATGACGATAAATGTGAGAATGGATCGGACATAGTGCTCTGAAAACTAAAAATTACATTAATAATGGAGGAGTTATTATTATACTGTTTCTTAGATATCAAAACAATTAGAACTTACCAAAGCAGAAACTGACCAGGGACCAAATATTCCTCCTTCTCCAAACACTGGCTCAAAGAAGGGCACAGCAACCAGCAACATGGCAGATGACATCGGAGCCTGGTAGTACAGCAGCTGCATTGAGTTCACTTGTAATTCATGCTGTTTGGCTCCTACCCACTGAAAATTAGGAGATAAAACATGTCTGGCACAAAAGAAATAGTATCACATAATCAAAGATGCGACAACTAGAGTCACAAAGATGGGAATGTGGGGTATAGACTAGGGGAAGATAAAATGTCTAATTATTCTACAAGATTTCAAAGACCAGTAAGCTATATGAATGCCCTTTAAGCACCATGGATGAAAATAGCTCTATAAATTTAATTTCTGATAATCTAGCTTCTTCTCAATTCTTAGAAGGAGGAGAAAAGTCCTCTATTTCCTTCTACCTGATCCTAGTAAATAGGGAAAAATAAATGCATATAAGGGCCTACAAGGATAAAAGATCTTGGGAAAATAAGGGAGAAATAGAAATTCAGGTGATTAGGAATACAGATGCAGTGTTGGACTTCATTTCTTTCTAAAAATGGCAAAATTTAAAAAATGGAAGACCGGGGCCAGGAGCAGTGGCTGACACCTGTAATCCCAGTACTTTGGGAGGCCAAGGCAGGCAGATAACCTGAGGTCAGGAGTCCGAGACCAGCCTGGCCAACATGGTGAAACCCTATCTCTACTAAAAATACAATTAGCTGGGCGTGGTGGCGGGCGCCTGTGGTCCCAGCTACTCGGGACGCTGAGCAGGAGAATCGCTTGAACCAAGGAGGCGGAGGTTGCAGTGAGCTGAGATCGCGCCACTGCACTCCAGCCTCAGTGATAGAGTGAGACTCTGTCTAAAAAAAAAAAAAAACAAAGACAGAGGTTGGGGGGACACGATGACAATGGGGCATGGGGGCAGGTTAGAGATGGTTGCCAATGTGTGTGGCTTGAAAAGGTATGTGGTCTCGTCAGTTGCTTTGGAAAACCCAATCAATGGTAGAAGAGATTTTCCTCTCTCTGGATGACTTTTCTGTGGATACTATTCCTCATCCCCCACCAATACACCTAGATACACTGGATAATCACTAACCCTAAAATACCATACCATTCAGTAGAAACAACATCTCAAGACCTCAAATCCCATTCGTCCACAAAATACTTCACAAATATAACTGAAAAAAAGGCTTTGAAGAAGATTTAACAGGACTGTTTGGATCAGATCTGGCAAGAACAGCTAGGCTTTTGAATGACTTCTACATACTTCTTGTTCCTGTAGGTCTGGGTATCTTGTTACATAAACTCTAAGTCTATAGAAATCCATCAAGACAAAAATAGAAGAGCAGGGAATTTGAACCATACTCCTGCCAGCTTTAACTAAGAGTCCTCTGTGAATATGAAGGACAAAGAACTGATTCTTCTGCTGCCTGCTCCTTGGGGCACAGCAGCAAGCAAAAACGGATACAGAGGGTGTGTGCTCACCTGCCTTTCCTTTTGCAGCCTCTTCAGGCAGCCGCGTGTCTTCGCCACAGGACTGCCTGGAACAGCAGGGGCTCTCAGGCCTCCACTGTCCCTCAATGCAGCACAGCCTGGCTCCTGCCACCACCCCTCTAATGCTCTCCTAAGGGCACTATGATCTCCATGGACATGTCCAGACTCCCTGTGGCCCTTCCTGCGAGCCCTCTTTGCAGAACCTGCAAGTTTTGCTTGGAAGAACTACCCTCTGGTTTGTACTCCTCCCTCACTGCCTCCTGCACTTAACAGTTTTTAAGGCAGATGCCTGCCTTCCTCTTTCATCGCCCTGACTGATGTCTTTTACTATTTGCTGAGATCTACTGCTCTTCCCTCATCGCTTGAGCATCCTTAACCTTATATTGGCCAGTCTCCTGGCCATCTCTACTTATATAATCTGCAGGAACTTGTTTAAAATCAACTGGTGCCTTTTTTCTACAAATGGGCTCCTCTTGTGTGTTTCCAATAATTGATGATATAATCTCCCTCAGGGATCAGAGCCTTACTTTCCTCTCTCTCACATTCAGTCAGGTTCTCCTATGTTCCCCAAAACGCCCCTGGAGTGCCTTTTAACCTTTCCCTGTCCATTCCCACCGCCCTAGCCCAGGCCCTTCCTGCCTGTCCTGTGAAGTACAGGTAGGTTCCTGACTGCTCTGCCTTTTACCCTTCCTTCCCTCTTACCCACCCTTCATTGCCATCAGTTACTTTTCTAAAGACAGGGGAATGATCAAGTCAGTCCCTGTCTGAACTCCTCTCCTGGTGCGTGCTCAATAAAGATATACTTCCTTAGCATGGCTTCACGACCCTGACATCTGGTATCACCCACTCCTCAGCCTTGTCTTCTCACAATGCACCTACTGCCTAGCCTCACCAAACAAATCAAGTTCTCCAAAAATGCTCCAGACTTTCACACACACTGCAAGGAAAAGACCAGCTGTCCTTCCCTGCTGAGCTCATTTCTGTGTGCCCTTCAATTTAAATTGTTAACTTTTCCGTAAAGTCTTACCTCACCGCCCCTCTTTAAGAGCTGCCACTTCCTCCTTGGTGTTCCTCAGAATTTTCCTCCTACCTTGGGGTACATATGCTACTGTGACCAGCTGTCTCTTTGTGTTTCTACACTGCTGGACTGTAGCTGCTTTTCATCTTTGTATCCTCAAGGGTGAACATAATGCAGAAAAGATGTCTGCTGAACGAATGAATGAGTCAACCATCTTTCTACAACTCAAGCTAATAGCTGGTCACTTGTCTTTTAACTCCTTTTAATGTCTCCAGCAGTATAAGAGAAACAACATAGAAATTATCCCAAGATACTGTGGGCAGATACAACTTTCTTTAAGAGGAATGTTTTGGGAATATACCTATTTTGTAATGGTACCTTTACCACTTACTGATAAGAAACTGTCCATTAATCTACAATCATTCCTTGGTCAATCTCATGTCAAATATCTACCTTAGGGATATAGAATCCTTTGATTCTAATCTATAGCAATTTTGAGACTTGTGTGAACAAAAATGGTCATAGTGACAGAGATGGTGAGTACTCTGAATCTATTACGTATAAGGAGTACAATTACTTGCTCTGTTTAATAAATTGCCTATACTAGGCAAAAACAAGTGCATTTAACAAGAAAGATGAATAGGAATGTTCACTAGCCTCTTCTTTTATTTAAACTGCTTCTCTGCCACTAGAAAATGTATTTCACTGCAGAATATTTTCAAATACTGTCTCTGACATGATCACTACTAGAATGTTTAAGATGCCAGGGCTCTATTACTGAACTCCTAAAATTTCAAACAAGAATGCCTTAGTTTAATAACCAGTGGATGTTTGTGAAAAAAATAAAATTGGTTACACATTTTGGCTTTGATTCCCCATGCAGGCACACCCAGAATTTCCAGACCAAGGTTTTCAGTATAGAGAGAATACCGTTTCACTGTCCCCTACAGCAAGTTATTTTTTCTCCACTAAATAAGAATCAAAAACCATACTTGTTAGGATTTTATGGTAATGAAGTAAGTGAATCCATGAACATATTTTTAATGAATATCTGCTATAGGCAAGGCACTGCGCTTGCACAAATGGAAAAATATTCATTAATATAAATTACTCTATATTTATTAATATAGAGTATAATATTGTAATAATCTATATTAGACACATTATTAAAAGCCAATAAACAAGTTGTAACAGCAGTATAATTTTTGAGGCAAAAACATCTAAAAATCTGAAATTTTTCATTACTGTTCAGATTTCTGGAAGTATACTCACTCCTTCACAACAATGTTAAAAGTAAAGAGTAAACAGAAAACATAACAAACTTAGGAAGTAAAAAGTCTTACTAGGTATTTTGTAAAGATTTCCCAGAAAATAACTTCACCCCAAGCTGAGACTGTTAAGCATGGATATTATACACTTACAAACAGGTAGGTATTTGGTGAGCATCACACACCCAAGTTTCTCTGTCTCCTTTCTTCTCTTCACCTTGAGTCAGACAACTTATGCAATTATGCTTTCTTCCCAACAGTCTATTGTCTCTATACTGTATTTTCTAAACCTTGGAATACAGCTTCAAAATTTATGAAATCTGCTAAAAAGGCACATAAAGAAAAAAAAATTACCAACCACTTGATAAAGGGATGTAACTAAAACACCAAGAGCAGCAAACACCATTCCAAGGAAATTAAACTTCACATCGTAATAAGAATTTAGGATTACACCTAAAGTTATAGGAATCTGTAACGAAAAAGAGGTAAATGTTGTTCAGATTAAATTCAAGAGACAAAAATTTAGTATTCCTTTCACAATGTCTTACAAGGCTAATGATAAACACATAACTGGGAAACAATGAACCTGTATAAATGTTTTCTGTTTTGACTTGGGAAAACTAGTTGTTAATCCTATTTCCTAAACGTGAAATATGACAAATCTATATTGATATTCACATTTAATTCCATTCTAAATTTGTGGTAAATATATTGCACTTTGCAAGAAAATACCACATGAATACAAAGGTGAGTAAATGGATCCCCAAACTAGTGTCTAAACAGCATAAGCATAAATATAAAACAATAAAAGCATAAAGACCTTAAATATAAGGCCAGGCACGGTGGCTCACCACTGTAACCCCAGCGCTTTCGGAGGCCAAGGCGGGCAGATCACCTGAGGTCAGAGTTCGAGACCAGCCTGATTAACATGGAGAAACCCCGTCTTTACTAAAAATACAAAATTAGCCGGGCGTGGTGGCGCATGCCTGTAATCCCAGCTACTCGGGAGGCTGAGGCAGGAGAATCGCTTAAACCCGGGAGGCGGAGGTTGCGGTGAGCCGAGATCGTGCCATTGCACTCCAGCCTGGGCAACAAGAGTGAAATTCCGTCTCAAAAAGAAAAAAAAAAAAAAGAAAAAGACCTTAAATAAGTTACTAAGTGCTAAAATTGAGTCCACCTCCTTTTATTTAAAGATGCAGACAGCTCTAAAGTATGGTGCTGCAGACGTTTTGAGACCTACTTTATGCTACATCTTTTCACGTTTTATCATACACGATTTGATTCCCCTGGGGGAGAAAGGCTGTTTTTGTTTGAGCTTTTGCAGATATTCTGATAACACTGGACTGTACCACCCAATACAGCTTTTTTTCTTATCGATCACAGCATTTAACGATTTCCATCAAATGGCAGCTACTAAAATTCACACATGCCCACTCTTCTGGGCTGACAAGATGGCCTTTTCCCCCTCCCTAAAATAAGCCTAAAAGTTCACATGCCCACAGATGACTCATTTGTGGATTTCAAGATGAAGGGAAAGACCAGTGTGCGTTCGAATTTCCCGGGGCCAGTGCAGGAGGTGGGTCGGGAGAGCGGCGCCTTGGGAAGCTGAAGCTACTCACCAGCGTGAGCTGGATTCTGGTGGAGAAGGTTTTCTGGTAGCAGAAGGTCTGGATGGCTATGATCACCGGCGTGGTCATGGCCTTGGCCAGCTGATAGGTGCCTATGGTGTTGTTCTGCAGAGAAAGGTTAGTGAAGACCACAAAGCCACAGAAGCTGAGGGCCAGGAGGAGGAGCCTGGAGGGCGGCAGACTTTTGGGGGCAAAGATGTCCAGCTTCTGGCAGATATACAAGCCCAGCCAGGTGACCACGAAGTGCACCAGGGTCAGGCTCATGTTGGGGAAGCCGTGGTACACATAAATCCATTTGTTGAGGAACACAATGCAGATGGACACCAGCAGGTTGAACAGGAGCCCGGCGGCGATTCGCCAGTGGCCCCGCACTCGGTCCACCAGCAATGCCATGATCCCCGCGAAGCTGGGGCCGTCTAGCCTCGGAAGGGGCGCCGGGCCTGTCTCCGGCTGCCCTTCTACTCCACCGCCGCGTCCTCGCAGACGCCGACCTCACCGTCTGACCCAGGAGTGGCATGCACAGATCAACCCCGGGCGAGTAGCACTCTTAACAGAGGACACACACCCCGCCGCCGCCCTGTAAGCCAGCTAGGACGCCGCAGCACGTCCCACGCCCCGCTCATCTCCGCCCGCAGCCACGTGACTCGGGGCTCCAGTGCTTCCGCCCCCGAGCCGCTGGCTGAACGGCCGCTACCCTGCGCAGGCGCGCTGAGCCTTGGGCGCGCGACGCTTGCGTCTTTGGGTCCTATCCTCTGGGTCCCCGACCCCCTTGGTCACCTAACGCCTACCTGACTGGACCAATCTAGGACCCCTTTCTTGATGTTTGTTTCCTGTGTGTCATTGACCCGATTTGCTAGACAACTTCTCTCTGGCTGTGCAGACACTGTTAGCCAATTTTACGTATTAAATGCTGAGCAAATTTAGTAGCCCTCGCCAGAGGGGGGAAAGAACTTATTGAAAGCATGTTTTTATTTTTTATTTTTGGAAAAAGACATTCAAAATTTACTTTCCAACAGACAGCATCATCGGGTATAACTACAAGGGTTTCTCCTTAGATCATACATTCACAAAGCATTATTAGCTCAACAGTGAGAAAATGTGTTCTCTAAAGATGTCCCCTTGACAATGTAAACGAGTGCTACTGTGTTCACTTACAACTCGAGAAAAAAACGTACAACCTGGCAAAACCGTATATATATACAGCTGTCTCTAGGGGTGCATACAAATATATATATATGTTTTGGATCAGGTCAGGTGCAATGACTAAGAGATAGAACTTTGAGTAACAGTCTTGATCGACAGTAAGGTCCTTCACACAGAAGTCAGGTTCTTCCTTTCTCCTTCCTCCTTAAGTCGATAAAGAAAGATTATATATTGTAGATATTACAGGTACAAAAGGAGATTTTTAAAAAAGGAATCACAAAAACATCTTGAATGTCCAGCTGTTCCTGCCAATACATCAATTCTTAGTTTTAAGACAGAGTCTAGGATTAATTCAGCAGTCATAAAATTAAAAAGAGAGACTGTGGTACAAAAAATTTAAAATAAATGAGGAAGTAGGGCATGGTGGCGTGGGCCTGTAGTCCCAGCTATTTGAGAGACTGACGTGGGAGGATTGCTTGAGCCCAGGAGTTGGAAGCCGGGATGGGCAACATAGTGAGACCCCCATCTCTAAATTAAATAAATAAATGAGGTAGGGAAATTAAAACTTTCACACCCAGGACATGCCTGTTCCAACTTTGTAGCCTTCATGCAATGCTCAAGGAAAAAGTCTTCATAATTCCTTGGCATAAGTCACACCAAGAAAAGTTTTTAAAACTTAGTATGCGAACCTGTGATAGGCAACACGCCCTTCCCTGAGTTTCCTCTCTAGAATGAAAACCCAGTTCTTCAAGAGTAGGCACTGAGGAACTAAATTAAGTTGCCTGAAATTTCCCACTCAGGTGCCCACCACTTCTGGTGTTCAGGAAGAGAGGCATTTGGGAATTGTGAGGAGCACATTGGCACTCTTGGGGCTCCAACTGAACTGTATTTAAATAAGCAGCAACACACACATTGACTCCCTAAGGACTCAAAGGAGTCCAATTGGCTGGGTGCAGTGGCTTATGCCTGTAATCCCAGCACTTTGAGAGATCGAGGCGAGTGGATCACTTGAGGTCAAGAGTTTGAGACCAGCCTGGCCAACATGGCAAAACCCCGTCTCTACTAAAAATACAAAAATTAGCCAGGCGTGGTGGCAGGCGCCTGTAATCCCAGCTACTAGGGAGGCTGAGGCAGGAGAATCGCTTGAACCCAGGAGGCGGAGGTTTGCAGTGAGATATCATGCCACTGCACTCCGGCCTGGGAGACAGAGCAAGACCATGTCTCAAAAATAAATAAATAAATAAAAATTAAAAACAAGTCCATTTGAGGGCATCCTAATTAAGAGTCTAAGGTTGAAGGAATTTTGTAATTCCACAACCTTAGTGGGTTTCTGTGCTGTGTTTTTTAAAGGACATTCAAAAAACAAGGCACAACAAAAGACAAATACAGAGTGGGGGACATGCAAAACAAGTTCCTAAATAGATGACAGACCTTGTCCATTTACCCACATACGGTTACGATGGAAGCATACAATATTCCTCCTCCTCATTTAGGCTAAGTAGTTTTCCCACTGTTGTTCAACAAATAGGTAACAGTCTTTGGAAATAGTCACCCTGGGTTGTACAAAGTTTCTATATATACAGTTTGTTGCAAGTAACAAAACTACTTTTAAGACTCACTTATTTCCCCTCCCCACCCCAAATCTAGTCTGTATTTGTTTTGGTATGAATTTTTTGTTTTTATTTTTTGCAAAGTAGCATAGCAATAATCATGATTACAGGACTGCATGAGCTGTAAAAATCATTTGCATATTAGTAAGAATAAAGAAAACAGGAAGACAAGATGAATTCTTTAGAGAAATAAAACAAAAAAAGCACATAATATAGAACTGATCAAATTCTATGATCCCATCTCAGGCTTCCCAAGCCAGCTGTCTCTAGGGGTGGCATCTATAAATACATATTCAAGAAATTCCTTAGATGATTAGCAAGTTTGGGGAATTACTGTTTTCTATTAGAATCACATTCTTTTAGTTGTCTCCTGTTTATAAGCCCTACACTCTAGCCTATTTGGTGTATTTGTTGGTTCATAATAATGCCCAGCATTTATCATTTCTTGCTCATACTGATTTCTTAATCTATAGAGCCTCATCCTTCTTGTGTCACTCTTTGCCTTTGCAAATTCAGTGCATTACTCAAACCCCAAACCAATACTACTTCCTGAGAGTCTTTTCAGCTGGAGAGAGGTTCTTCCTGCTCAGACTACTTGTAATTCTTTCTTTTTTTGGAGACAGTGTCTCGCTCTGTCCCCAAGGCTGGAGTGCAGTGGCGTGATCTCGGCTCACTGCAACCTCTGCCTTCCAGGTTCAAGAGATTCTCATGCCTCAGCCTCCCCTGAGTAGCTGGGATTACAGGCACCTGCCACCATGCCCGGCTAATTTTTGTATTTTTTTAGTAGAGACAGGGTTTCACCATGTTGGCCAGGCTGGTCTCAAACTCCTGACGACAGGTGATCCACCTGCCTCGGCCTCCCGAAGTGCTGGGGTTACAGACGTGAGCCACTGCACCCAGCCACTACTTGTATTTTTAAATGACACCTTTTAAATGTACTTATGGTATTTCCCCTATTAGAAGAGCGGGATCTGTAATCTCCAATATATTCAGTGCTTACTGTGTGCCAGGTACTACGCTAAGTCTTTATATGCTCTTATTTTGATAGGAAGTTTGCTAAATGAAAGTTAAACTAGAAATGTCTTCAAAATAACTAAAATAATAATAGCATGTTATGTTAGAAAAATTCTTGTTATAGTCATCTTCTTAATTTTAATATTCAAAAATACTAAATTTTATGATAAATAAAAAATTACGTACCTGGCTTAAAAATAAATCTACTTTCCATCATCTTTATGATTTTAAAATATCAGAATGCTTATGATTACAGAAAAAACTAGAACAGAAAATTTAATTTTCTTATTACATGAAAAAGAGACAACCCTGGAATTTGTAAAAACAGAAAATTTTAATTTTTATATAGTTTTATTAACAAGCACACAGAGAAACGCTGATATCCCTACATGTTGAAAGTGTCACGATAATATTCTGAAAAGTACAAAATTCAAATGTCTAAATTTTACATGGTAATGCAAAAGAAAAAATTACTAATAACAAGTATATTTTATTAAAAACTTCATTTATCATGAAAATTAGTGAGATTACAAAGATTAAACTATAACTGAATTTCATACCCTAATGGGTCAAGTCCCTGGTCTAGGAGCATTAGAGAGGACTCTCTGAGCTTCTGCAGCAACTTCCTTAGCTCTTCCTTAGAAAATACCTGATTTTTAAAAAGAGAAATAAGAATGAGAACAAAGACAAGTAGACAAGTATGAACTTAGTTACCTAATCGATCTGATTAGCTTCATATAAGAAGAAATGCCTCTTTAAGATTTATGTAGCCAGAGCCTAGTAAATTAGAGTGGTTCAGGAATTTCAAGGTGAATTCTCAGAGTCAGTCTATATATTTCTAACTGCTTACAAATATACACACATTTTGGGAAAAAAGTACAAACATTAAAACATTAAAACTGGACTATTACTTTAAGAAAATCCAAGAGCAATTACAAATGTAAACACATCTTCACAAAATTAATATTACTACAGAGCATATCAAATCATTAAAATTTAAAACTACAAGGCTCTAGAACTTACCAGGTACAGTTTGTGGCGCTCAGAGGATACCATATCTGCTAACTGTAGGCATTCCTGATACTGACCAGTACTGTGCAATATCGTATGAAGCAGAAAACACAACATTGGCAGACAAAGCTTTCTCAGTAAGACCATTTGATGTGTTCTTTCATGGTCTTCTTTGGCATCCTACAAACAGACATCAATAAATCATTTTAACAATTTAAGCTAAAGATCCTTACAAAAAGAAAAGCCAGGTACTGAATCAAACCCAGAATGTAATTGGTAGACAAGATTTAACAGCAAAAAAGTATGAAGATGAACAACGTAGACTACAGAGAGGTATGACAGTGAAAATAAAATGCTTCTGCATTTGTATTTCTAATAAACTTACTATGTCCTGAATAAAAACATGCATAAAAAGAATGAGTTGGAAACTGAATATCATTAGAGCAAAAATCAGAACAGAAAACAATCACCACTCCTTTGGATGTTTATACATATAAATAAAGATAGCTCTAAGGAGGCCTGAGAGGACACAACAGACTGACAGCAATGACTGTTGCTGGGAAAAAGACGATGTGGGGAGGGGCACACAGGGAGGGTCAACTTCATTGCAGACTACTTTGCTTATACACATGGAAAATGGAATTTATAATTTCTTTATATAATTTTTAAAAACAGAAAAACAGAACCTATAGATTTGAATAATACAATTAATGAGTCAGAACAGATATATAAGGAAAACAAGCAGAAAAAACAATTGGCATTCCTTTATACATACATGGATCTTTCTTAAAATCGATGTGAACAGTAAAAGTACAGAAAAAAGAGTAAACCTCTTATGCCCACTACATTTACTTACAAAAAATTTGAAAATTAAAATAATTAGAAAGTAACCAACCACATAATTTCTTTTTTTTTTCTTTTCTTTTTTAACCTTTTTCTTCTTTTCTGAGACAGCATCTCACTCTGTCGCCCAGTCTGGAATGCAGTGGTACAATCATGGCTCTCTGAAGCCTTGATCTCCGGGCTCAAGCAATCCTCCTACCTCAGCCTCCCAAGTAGCTAAGAACCACAGGCATGTGCCACCATGCCCGGCTAATTTTTCTATTTAAAAAAAAAAATAATTTTATTATTTGTAGAGATGAGGTCTCCCTATGTTGCCCAAGCTAGTATCGAACTCTTGGGCTCAAGTGATCCTCCTGCCTCAGCCTCCCAAAGTGCTGGGATTACAGAAATTACACACTACAATTTCTGAAATAATCTTAAAAATAGGAAGGAAATCAATAGCACTAATAGTGTAGAAAAAAAAAACAGGACAAGCTAAAATAATAACTGCTCCTTTGAAAAGCCTAATGGAATACCTAAAAGTATCTTCATGTGAGAGGCTATATTAAATTGCTAAAACATTTTTCAAATGGACATGTAAGTGGAGGGGTTAATCAACAACAAAGTATAATCTGGTAATTATACCAAGGAGTAATTGTACTAATTTGGGCTAATCTAGGTCAGGTTTCCAAACATAGGAAAAATTACTATCAATATTTTGGTCTTGTTTGAAGCATAAATACATAAAAGCAAATATTAAAGTGCTTCTTTACAAGGGAAGCACCTTTATTTCTTTTCTCAAATAGATACTTGCTACCTTCAGAGGTGGATTTAAAATGCTTCAAGGTTTTACTTGTAATTCATATTAGTGATCCCAACCTAGAACCCAGTAAGAATAAGAGAACTGCTTCTTTCTGGACCTTTCCATTTGTGCTCCAATGTAGTCTTTCTGTCTATGTTAAAGAGGCCGGGTGCCCCTGGCTTCTGACTCCTTGTTGCCCGAAAAGCAGCAGGTTACTTTCTTATCTCACAGGATGGACCCAGACTTGCTTTTACTAAATCCTTTTGCTGCCATAATATCAGAGTGTGCTGCAGACAATCTCTTCTGCTAATTATAATGAATTCCGATACTAGCGGGCGGGCTGCCAGCAACTATCCAGGGTAATGGCTGACAGACCCAGCAAATTGCTACAAGGAAAAGCAAATAAACAGCTCTGCTACAACTGAAGACATTTTTCTCATCTGAATGAACAAAAGCTTTGAAATAGCCGGTAAATATGTAAAACAGACGGATTATTTCCACTAGGGATATTTCCACTTTTTTTTTTTTTTTTGAGACGGAGTCTCGCTCTGTCGCCCAGGCTGGAGTGCAGTGGCGCGATCTCAGCTCACTGCAAGCTCCGCCTGCCGGGTTCACGCGATTCTCCTGCCTCAGCCTCCCGAGTAGCTGGGACTACAGGTGCCCGCCACCACACCCGGCTAATTTTTTGTATTTTTAGTAGAGATGGGGTTTTACTGTGTTAGCCAGGATGGTCTCGATCTCCTGACCTCGTGATCTGCCCACCTCAGCCTCCCAAAGTGCTGGGATTACAGGCGTGAGCCACCGCGCCCCCCCATGTAGTGCCTTACATGTGAGAAAAACTCATTACCTAATATGTGTTGATAGCAAGAGTTGATTGGAACTGATATTACAGCTATTCCTAATCTGAAGACAGTACATTCACCTCAGTAATGCAGTATCATTCATTTACTAAGTACCACTGAAAGCCTCCCATGTGCTCAGCATTATTTTAAGTGCCAGAGTCAAAGAAATAAAGAAAACAAGGTTACTCCCTTCATGAAGGTTATATTCTAATGAGGGTAGACATACAAAAAGCAAATAAATTAATATGTTTTATATCAGATTGTGCTAAGTGCTATGAAGAAAACTAATGTAGGATATGGAGATTAAAAGGGACAGGTGTGTGTGTGTGTATACACATGCATACATGCTATTTTAAATAGGGTGGTTGGGTTGGGGAGAGGTTCTTGAAAGAGATGACATTTGAGCAGCTGCTGAAAGAAGTACAAAGTCATCCATGCACCTATCTTGGCGAAGGAGCATTCTAGGCAGAGGGGAACCAATGAAGAGGCCCAGAATGCCAGGATATAGTGATGGGAGAGCAGTAGGACACAAGATTAGGGGGTTAGTTTAAAAAAAAAAGAACAAAACAAAAGTATGTATACTCTTGTACATCAAGAAAAGAAAGATTTTATTCCAAGTGCAATAAGAAGGCATCAGAAAGTTCTGGGTAAGACAGTCGCATGTATTTTATTCTGAAAGGGTCACTAGTCCATCTGTATAAGGAACGATTGTATAAAGAACAGTGAGAAGCCACGGAAGACAGTAGAGGCTTGGACTAGAATGTGCTAGAGGTAGAGGTAGTGAAAGGTAGGTAAAGATGACCTGCCTGCTCCATTCTCTCTGCCATTCCTCTGTGCCACCAGCCCCAACACTAAGGGGACTATTCCAGTTATTTAAAAACTTGAGGGGTAGCTATACGAAAACAGCACATAATGCTAGGGCTATTGTGTACAGCCGTGCCTTGTACAAGGGTGGCTGGCCAAGCAAGTAAGTGGGGCTGAAATCTAGCCTGTGTTCTGTCTTACATATTGTGTGCACTTGCCATGGAACCTATCTATGTAAGGGAAGGGAATTCCAATTTTTTTTTTTTTTTTTTGAGACGGAGTCTCCCTTTGTTGCCCAGGCTGGAGTGCAGTGGCGCAATCTTGGCTCACTGAAACCTCCGCCTCCCTGGGTTCAATCGATTCTCCTGCCTCCACCTCCCTAGTAGCTGGGATTACAGGCGCGAGCCACCACACCCGGCTAATTTTTTGTATTTTTATTTTTATTTTTGAGACAGAGTCTCGCTCTGTTGCCAGGCTGGAGTGCAGTGGCGCAATCTCGGCTCACTGCAACCTCCGCCTCCCAGGTTCAAGTGATTCTTCTGCCTCAGCCTCCCAAGTAGCTGGGACTACAGGCACGTGCCACCATGCCTGGCTAGTTTTCTGTATTTTTAGTAGAGACAGGGTTTCACCATATTGGCCAGGATGATCTTGATCTCCTGATCTTCTGATCCACCAGCCTTGGCCTCCCAAAGTGCTGGGATTCAGGCGTGAGCCACCGTGCCCGGCCAATTTTTTGTATTTTTAGTAGAGACGGAGTTTCACCATATTGGCCAGGCTGGTCTCGAATTCCTGGCCTCACGTGATCTGCCCTCCTCGGCCTCCCAAAAGTGCTGGGATTATAGGGATGAGCCACCGTTCCCAGATAGAATTACAATTTTCTAATTCACATACAAGTGACACGTGTTAGCAGGGGCCTTGAACAATGCCCTACGTCATTGACTATGTAAGAGTATTAGGCTCAACAAAGGTGATTAAAATGTTATTAATCATTTAACTGTTCAAGAAATCTCTTTTCTGGATTAGTTTTAAAGAAATAATTGAGACTGAAGTTTTAAAGAAATAATTGAGACTGAATATTGATTTTAAAATCCCTGATGAAACAAAATGGTGTATCATTCATTGCCTTCCATCTCAACTCCATTTTTTTTTTTTTTTTTTTTTTGAGACAGGGTCTCACTCTGTCACCTAGGCTGAAGTGCAGTGGCACGATCTCGGCTCACTGCAACCTCTGCCTCCTGGGTTCAGGCCATTCTCCTGCCTCACTAGTAGCTGGGACTACAGGCATGCACCACCACACCAGGCTAATTTTTTTGTATTTTTAGTAGAAACGGGGTTTCCCCATGTTGTCCAGGCTGGTCTCAAGCTCCTGACCTCAGGTGATCCACCCACCTCAGCCTCTCAAAGTGCTAGGAGTACAGGCGTGAGCCACCACGCTTGGCCTCAACTCTAATTTTATGAGATCCCAAGACTATTTTGTGGCTTTCACTACCTAATCTACTTAATTAATAATTAGAATAGCAAAGATGTATGTATAAATAAAGCATTGAAGTCTTTTCAAAATTTAAGTGACACTTAATTAGCATTTTACAACATTAAAATTTTATCTTCAAGAGAATCAGCATGAATCAGATGAGAAAGGTTTTGCCAGAGGAACCTGTGGAAGGTTTAAAACGAGTCAAAGGAGTTCTATTACGAACGTTAGGATAAAAAGTGGAGACTTGGCTGGGCGCAGTGGCTCACGCCTGTAATCTCAGGCACTTTGGGAGGCCAAGGCAGGTGGGTCACCTGAGGTCAGGAGTTCGAGACCAGCCTGGCCAACATGGTGAGATCCCATCTCTACTAAAAATACAAAAATTAGCTGGGTGTGGTGGTGGATGCCTGTAATCCCAGCTACTTGGGAGGCTGAGGCAAGAGGATCTGGGAGGCGAGCCAAGATTGTGCCATTGCACTCCAGCCTGGGCGACAAGAGCAAAACTCTTTCTCAAAAAAAAAAAAAAAAAAAAAAGGTGGCGACACATTGACTCATGCCTGTAATCGCAGCACTTCAGGAGGCCAAGGTGGGAGGACAGCTTGAGGCTAGAAGTTCAAGACCAGCTTGGGCAACACAGCAAGATCCTGTGTCAAAAACAAACAAACAAAAAAGCCAGGCATGGTGGTGTGTGCTTGTTGTCCTAGCTACTGGGGAGGCTGAGGCAGAAGGACTGCTTGAGCCCAGAAGTTTGAGGCTGCAGTGAGCTATGATGAAGCCACTGTCCTCCAGCCTGGGTGATAGAGCAAGACCTTGTCTCTAAAACAAAAAAAGAAAAAATAAAGTGGAGACATTTAAGATAATTACTCCATCAGTAATAGTGGCAAATAGGGGCTCAAATTTAGTTCGCTGTCCTGCCTGTATTCTTTTTCCTCCTTCTGGTCAGAGAAGACAGGCTAAAAAAAAAATGCAATAGCTAAAATTAAAGAAAAAGTACTAAATAGATGAGGGTATGAAGAATGGCAAAAGGAAAGATACCAAGAACACTTACTGTTTTCTTTGTTCAAAATAACACATCAAATATCCAAGAAGCCAGTATTTCCAGCTCTCAGACAGCTCCTCAGGTCTACAGAGGATAAACTAAGCTACTCACTGTTTCTGTCATGCACCAGGGTCAGGCTGCAATGTCTTTCCCTTATATGACTATTATCTCAGTATCCTTCCTTTCTCCCATCTCAGCTCATCCAAATTCTACCAGTATGTTCAAGATTCAGTCAAATGCTATACATTTCAAGCATACGTTCCAGTTCCCTTTCAGGTGAAAACAATCTTTTCTTTTCCTGGACTCAGAAAATACTTAACCTGTGCCTTTCTTATGGCACTTGATACTTCTGTAGCTGGTTCTCAACACAGGCTATATATTATATTAAAGCACTGCAAGTGATTAAAAAAACAAAAATAAACCCCAGCCCTACCTCAGACCAATTACACCATAATCTCTGGGAGTGGAACCCTGTAGTGTTTTTAAAAAGTCTGCCAGGTCATTAAAATGGACAGCCCAGAGGTGAGAGCCCCTACCTTAGCTATGCCTTACTGATACTACTCGAGTTATCTTTATATCTGTAAATGGAGTGACATACATGTATAATTAAATTTTTAGGTCCAGAATTTTTTAAAAATTAGATTTTTGTATCCTCTGTGAACATAGTAAATGTGAACTAATAGTTTATCCAAGAATCAAATATTCCCATTCCCTAGGTAGTATTTTCAGTTTAGCTTAAAACATGGGATTTAGCTATATCTACAATTATGTAAAATCTGTAGATGCTCCCATTTAGAGACAGAATATTTTTAAAAAAGAACATGGTGAGTGTTTTGGTTTTTGGCTATAAACAATGCACACAGCTTACCTCTCTAACATCCACCATCCACCCTCCATCAACAAACAACAAGACGTTATACATTTTCTCCTTCACATCAGCAGTTAGGGCATCCAAATGCCCTTTCCAAATACCAAAATCCATCTGCAAAACAAACACAAGGCAGACATATAATGGATAAAACCCAATAAATAATGTATTTGGAAAATACAGACAGGAACATACATATAGAACATCATTCTAAAGAGTTGATGTTTCAGTCTGCCAAGTACAAAAATAAGTATCAACAGACTGCAGTTAAGTAAAACGCTAAAATGTTAACTTTGTAAATGAACGCTCATGTCACCTGAAGGCATTTTTCATGTTTGGTTAATTACCTACAGAAAAGTAACTAAACAGATTGCATCTTCCAAAGCAGGACATTAACAGGGAGATTACCTGTTATGATCGAAAGATAGTTGCTGAAGAAACGATCTCTTTAAATATACAACACACATTTATAAGATGCAGTAGGCACATCCTAGATCCATATTTAACTTACTTCATATTTCTTTTCTTTGTGTTCATGAGCCACTTTCTCAGTAAAAGTTGGTTGAGGTATCAAAGCAGGTTTTTGTGGAACTGAATTCATATGCTTAAACCACTCATTAAAGGTTTCATGGGCTTCCTAAAATGTGAAATAAAAAAACCAAAATATAAAATAACAAAAGTTTTCACTTTTATCGTTTCACCAACATTTTTAACATTTGATTCTTAGAAATAATTTTGCAGCATCAAGAAATAAAACTGTTCAATATATATTTTTTTCCCTCCAAAAATTCATATCATGAATAAATGTTTTGTCAAGTGACAAACAAGGTATATATATTGTGTTTTCTGGCATATTCTCCAATCTGAGCACCCTGATCGTATATGTATCTTGACATTCATCGCTCTGTAACATATGCATGTGTACTTGTCTTCTTAACTAGCCTATTAGTTTTTAGAGGGCAAGGATAGGGTGCTATCCACAGATTTGGCCCTACTACCTAACCCACTGTAATTACATAATTATTTATTGAATAAAATTTTTTTTTTGTTTTTGAGACAGGACCTTGCTCTGTCACCCAGACTGGAGTACATGATCTAATAAAGACAAGGCATGATCTCTGCTCACTGCAGCCTCAACTCCCTGGGCTCATGCGATCCTCCCACCTCAGCCTCTGAAGAAGCTGGGACTACAAGTACATGCTACCATGCCTGGCTAATTTTGTTTTATTTTTTTGTAGAGATGCAGGGGTCTCACTGTGTTGCTCAGGCCAGTCTTGAACTCCCAGGCTCAAGCAATGCTTCTGCCTTGGCATCCCGAAGTGTTGGGATTATAGGCGTGAGTCACCGCATCTAGCCTTGAATGAATTTTGAATGAGTATGCTGCTATTTTAGTCATAACAAACCTAGAGCATCTTGCTTTTTCTCAGTTATTGAAAAAAGCAGAAATTTAAAGCTGAGACATGCATCACAAAATCTTAAGAAAACATAACTTCCAGACATCATAGACACTATCTACCATGTGAGATGATCTTGGTTGGTTAGCATTGATTAGAGAATCATGCTAATGAAGATAAGGTCATGAAGTCAGTCCCCTTGTGGATGAGTCAGCACTATAGTCACAAGAGAGGTAAGATGAACCAACACTACTTCTAGAAAAAAGTTCAAACTCTGAGAGTGAATCCGAAAAATCATCATGAAGTAGGCACATCTGTGGCTTTCTTTACAGTCTCACCAAATAAGCTCTGATGCACAAATGTTCTCGGATAGCATTATCATCTTCAGCAGGAAGTGGACTTTCCATTCCTTGTTCCTCGCACTGATTATAGATTTCTGCTATAGAATCCTGAGGAATTTTCACAAATACTTCTTTTGCAGCTTCGTGCTTTTTTGATGCTGTGAAAAAAGATACACAATTTTGAATGCCTACGGACTTCTCTGTAATGGTTTCTAAAGGAGTCAAATCACTGGTTTACCAATTTTACAGTGACCTGTAACTATTTCAGGGCCCAAGGCACTCTGTTAAAGGTCTTGGTGATCTTTCTACCTGATAGACTGGCTTTTTCGTATCTCAATGTGATACTATCACAAAAGGATACATCAAATGCAGTTACTTTTACATACTTTTATGTCTTAAAGCAATTCATTTTTCAAAGTCGGATAGCCTTGAGATTATTTGCAAAATTGATTAGGACAATGAAAATTCACCATTAAAATATATTTTGTTTCATAATACCAGGTTTGATAGATAAAGAGTGGCTGGTTTTCTCCTCCCTATGGAAGGATCAAAAACAAAAAGCAACCCCCCACCCCAAATTCAAAAATACACGAATTTGAACAAAAACGTTTTAAAAAAGAATAAAAAATCTGGGTGTGGTGGTTCACGCCTATAATCCCAGCACTTCAGGAGGCTGAGGTGGGAGGATTGCTTCAGGCCAGGAGTTCGAGACCCGCCTAGGCAACATAGTGAGACCCCATCTCTAGAAAAAATTTTTTAAAAATTAGGTGGGTGTGGTGGTGGGTGCCTGTAGTCCCAGCTACTTGGGAGGCTGAGGTAGGAAGAAGAATGGAGCCCAGGAGTTTGAAGCTGCATAAAAATATACTATACCCAAGAATTTTCTCATAATTGCATTGCCTTGTTTCAGTGCTTCTGCCCTCTGCGCTGGGTCAAATACCAACCAGTCAATTACATCAATTTTTAAACGATCCTCCTATTTATTAAAGGGGAAAAAAAGAAAAAGGAATATCAGAGTTTTTTTTTTAAAGATATTCTACAAATTAGTAGAATTAACTTACACCTGTACTTCCAGTAAACATCATTTTCTCTCAAGTTATACAAAATTATGAAAGCATCTAACTTTCCTTAGTGTATTTTCATATTTAACAGCTCTCTATTAAATTATAGAAAATACTGCTGGGCATGCTGGCTCACACCCGTAATCCCAGCACTTTGGGAAGCCCAGGCGAGCGGATCTCTTGAGCTCATGAGTTCGAGACCAGCCTGGACAACATGGCAAAACCCCTTCTCTACAAAGAATACAAAAAATTAGCCAGGCATGGTGGCACATGCCTGTAATCCCAGCTACTCGGGAGACTGAGGGAGGGTGGCTTGAGCCTAGAAGGCGAAGGTTGCAGTAAGCAGAGATAGCGCCACTGCACTCCAGCCTTGGTAACAGAGCTAGACCTTGTTGTCTCAAGAAAATAAAAATAAAAATAAATTATAGAAAATATTAATCTGGAATTATATATTGTATGCCTTACCAACTTAACCACGTGATTCCTTTAAATGTTACTCTAAAATAGTTTTCTTAGATATAACTTTCTATTCCTTTCTGAAAATATGAGTAAGCAAGCTACATAAGTTAGTGATTAATCAAGTATTTAAAATAACCTGATGAGCAACAAGCCAAAGCTGAGATTTTTTTCTATTAAAGAAGCTCCTTTAACATACTACTATAAGTAATCCTTTACATAAGACTTTAAATTTAAAAGGTCTGGGCTGACAAAGACACATTCTTAAAAAAGAAAACCTAATAGAACTTCTTTTACGAAGGGAGAAGTTCACCAAGGAATAACATAAAAGATTATTAGAAGTTATAGAAACCTCTGCCCCCCCATCCCAAATTACCTCAGTAGTGCCAGTATCTAGGGCTGGGGCCAGGTCATGATGACTAAATTCACCATTATCTTTCTTTCGAATATTCTCAACTACAGTTTTTGTTATTGTTGCAACATCCAAATCTAAATAATTTTTTGAAGCGACAAAAAACAAAGATTAATCATTGATACTAATATTCTCTAAATAGTCATAATGATTCAGTAAATTTGGAACAGTAATTCCTTAAAAATAAAATATGTAAAATATGAAAGATATTTATATAAAAGAAAATGCCAGAATTAAAAGATATTTTACATATGAGTTACAGCATAAGTAACTTTAGTCCTAAAACAGAAATTCCCTGAAAATTTTATTCCTCTTTTCCCCTCAACAGAAATAAGATTTAAAACTATAAGGACAAATGTTACTACAGCCAAAATGAACATTTGCCTAGAAAGGCCAAAAGACAAAGTTTTCAACCATTTTTACCTGCTTCTTTAGCCAACTCCAGGCAATGGTGGCGCTGTTCAAATTCTGTAACACTTTCCAAAAATAATGCATACTGGGCAACAGCTAGGTCTTGAGGCAAATGACAGGTATAAAATGCTATAAGATTTGTATGTTTCTCTCTTATTAAAAGCTAAAAAATAGAAAAAGATCAAAGTATGTCAATAATAAAATTAAAAGTATACTTCAAAATTTCAAATGTATTCAGGAGAGGTTCATACAGATGTGGATTTGTGTTGCTAAACAGAATAATTTTATTTTATATTTATTTGTTTGAGACAGGGTCTCACTCTGTCACCCAGGTTAGGGTACAGTGGCATGATCATGGCTCACTGCAACCTGTCTCCTGGGCTCAGGTGATCCTCCCACCTCAACCTCCCGGGTAGGTGGGACTACAGGCACATGCCACTATGCCCTGCTAATTTTTTGTATTTTTTTTTAGTAGAGATGGCTTTTCACTATGCTGCCCAGGCTGGTCTCAAACTCCTGGGCTCAAGTGATCTGCCCACCTTGGCCTCCTAAAGTGCTGGGATTACAGGCATGGGCCCCTGTGTCCAGCCCAGAATAATTTTAAATTCCAAAAAGTGAGTACAGTTGGCTCTTAAACTGCACAGGTTTGAACCGTGGATTTTTTTCGATAAATATATTGGAAAATTGGCTGGGTATGGTGGCTTGCGCCTGTAATTCCAGTACTTTGGGAGGCTGAGGCAGAAGTATCACTTGAGACCAGGCCTGGTAGCTCTTGCCTATAATCCCAGCACTCTGGGAGGCTGAGGCAGGCGGATCACCTAAGGCCAGGAGTTCAAGACCAGCCTGGCCAACAAGACAAAACCCTGTCTCTACTAAAAATACAAAAATTAGCCAGGCGTGGTGGCGCATGCCTGTAATCTCAGCTACTTGGGAGGCTGAGGCAGGAGAATCACTTGAACTTGGGAGGTGGGTTGCAGTGAGCTGAGATCATTCCACCACACTCCACATTCCGGCCTGGGTGACAGTGAGACTCTCTCAAAAAAAAAAAAAAAAAAAAAGGTAGTATCACCCCTGAGGGCAGGAGTTTGAGATTAGCCTGGCCAACATAGTGAGACCCAGTCTCTACAAAAAAATAAAAAATAAGTTTGCTGGCCATGGTGGCACGTGTCTATAGTACCAGCTACTTGGGAGGTTGAGGGGAGAAGACTGTTTGAGCCCAGGAGTCTGAGGTTACAATGGGCTATGATCTAGCCAGTGAACTCTAGCCTGAGTGACAGAACAACATCCTATCTCTAAATAAATAAATACATTAATTTAAATATATATATATTAGAACATTTTTTGGAGATTTGTGACAATTTGAAAAATATTCATGCTTGAACCCAAGAGGCAGAGGGTACAGTACAGTGAGCTGAGATTGCGCCATTGCACTCCAGCCTGGGCGAGAGAGTGAGACTCCGTCTCAAAAAAAAAAAAAAGACTCACAAACAAATTAATAGCCTAGAAATACTGAGTAAATTAAGAAAAAGCTAGGTAGGCCAGTGGCTCACACCTGTAATCCTAGCACTTTGGAAGGCCGAGGCTGCTGGATCACCTGAGGTCAGGAATTTGAGACCAGCCTGGCCAACGTGGTGAAACCCCGTCTCTACTAAAAATACAAAATTAGCCAGGCGTGGTGGTGCACACCTGTAATACCAGCTACTTGGGAGGCTGAGGCCAGAGAATCGCTTGACCCCGGTGAGGCAGAGGCTGCAGTGGCAGTGAGCCAAGATCATGCCACTACACTCCAGCCCGGGCATCAAAGTGAGACTCCATCTCAAAAAAAAAAATAAAAAATAAAAAAAAAGGTATGTCATAAATCCATTATATGTAGATTCTGGTCTATTTTATCACTTACTACTATAAAATATATATGAATCTATTATAAAAAGTTAAAATTTATCAAAACGTACACACATTTACAGACCATACATTGTGGTCTAGAGAAATGTAAACAAGCATACAGATGCAGTATTAAATCATAACTGCATACAACTAACTGTAGTAGATACTATACTACTGTAATAACTTTAGAGCCACTTCCTGCCACTACTGGGGTGAGCTCAAGTGCTGTGAGTATCCATTTAAAATGCCGTGTGATGCTAATCATCTCTGAAGAGCTGTTGGTCTCTTCAGTTGCATACTGCAATAAAAAGTAAGCTTTCCCAGGTCTTGTTTTTTTTAGTGCAATACTATAAACCCTTAATAACACCACAGGAGCCATACAAAGTGCCAGTAGTGATACTGGAAGTTCTCCCAAGAAGCAGAGAAAAGTCATGAGATTACAAGAAAAAGGTGAATTGCTTGATATACTGTAGATTGAGGTCTGTAACTGTGGTTGTCCATTTCAAATAGACAATTCATCTTGTAAACAGACAACATAAACTTACAGTATTAACAGGTACAGTATAGTACTATAAACGTAGTTTCTCTTCCTTATGATTTTTATTATTTATTCTTTTTTTAACTTTTAAAAGTTATTTATTAATTTTTAAACTTAAAAAAAAAAAAAAAGACAGGTCCAGGCCGGGTGTCGTGGTTCACGCCTGTAATCCCAGCTCTTTGGGAGACTGAGGGGGGTGGATCATGAGGTCAGGCGTTAAAGATCAGCCTGGCCAACATAGCAAAACCCCATCTCTACTAAAAATACAGACAATTAGCCAGCACCTTTAATCCCAGCTACTCGGGAGGCTGAGGCAGGAGAACCGCTTGAACCTGGGAGGCGGAGGCTGCAGTAAGCCGAGATGGTGCCACTGCACTCCAGCCCGGGTGACAGCGCAAGACTCCGTCTCAAAAAAAAAAAAAAAAAAAAGACAGGTTTTCGCTGTTTCCCAGGCTAGTCTTGAACTCCTGGGCTCAAGCGATCCACCCACCTCTGTTTCCCAAAGTGCTGGGATTACAGGCGCAAGCCACCACGTCTGGCCTGATTGTTTTTTTTTTTTTTTTTTGAGATGGTCTCACTCTGTCACCCAGCTGGAGGGCAGTGGCGAGATCACAGCTCACTGCAACCTCCAACTCCTGGGCTCACTCGATCTTCCTGCCTCAGCCTCCCGAGTAGCTGGGTTTACAGATATGAACCACTGTGCCCTGCTAATTTAAAAAAATTTTTTGTAGTAGAGAGAAGGGTCTCCCTATGTTGCCCAGGCTGATCTCAAACGTCTGGACTCAAGCAGTCCTCTCGCCTCTGCCTCCCAAAGTGTTGGGATTACCGGTATGAGCCACCTCGCCGAGCCCCTTATGATTTTCTTAGTAATGTTTTCTTTTCTCTAACTTACATTATCATAAGAATACAGTACAGTTGAGCTTTGAACAACACGGGATTGAACTGTGCAGGTCCACTTCTGCATAAATTTTTTTCAACTCAACTTAGAAAATACAGTGTTATCTGGATGTGAAATCTGCAAATATGGAAGGCCAATTTTTCGTATATGCAGGTTCTGCAGGGCCAACTGTGGGACATGAGTATACACAGATTTTGTTATATGTGGGGGTCCTGGAGCCAATCCCCCAAGTATACTGAGGGATGACTGCATATGATACATGTAATATACAAAATGTGTTAATTGTGTGTTTATGTTATTGGTATGATTTCTGGTCAGCAGTAGGGTATCAGTAGTTAGGTTTTTGGGGAGTCAAAAGTTATAGTGAATTTTTGATTGTGCGGGGCGGTGGGGGTTGTTTTCCTAATCCCTGCATTATTCAAAGGTCAACTGTGCTGATAATTAAAAGATCTCTTATGGATTCTGATGCTTTCTTACCACTGAGAATTAAAATAGCATCATTCTGAGTTTTGTTTTCATTAAAATAGTAAAAAACAATCAGGTTGTAGGTTCTCAAAGTTTACCTGTATGTATGTCTTTAAAACTTCAATAGAAACTTCCTCCTTCATAGGAAAAAAAGACATAATTATAAATACACTGCTTATATGAAAGTAACAAAATTTTTGATACAAATTCCATTATTAAATAATTTAATAATTGTAATGTTTACCACTGAGCAGTAACTATACACCAAGCTAAGTGCTTACCAAAGTTCATCTACTGCCTGATTTAACCTTACCATAACTCTTTTTGGGTAGTTACTATTATTGTTCACATTTTACAGAGGATGAAATTAGGACCAAGGGAAGTTTTATTTACCCAGAGTTACACAGATAGAAGCTGCTGAATAAGGGTATATACTCAGGACTCCTACTCCAAAGCCCAAGCTTTCAACTACTGTATCATTCACTTTCTACATGCACTCTGACCAAAATGTTATCTTCTTTTTTAGAAAAAAAGCAACAAAACAACAACCAACAAAGTTTTAAAATCTCACATAGCACTCACTTTGTTTAGTTAGCTTAGCTGGTTGATTTAAAGCTGGGTACAGACAAGGATAAAGTTATGAATTTATTAAAAACCAGTTAACCAACAGCATTCTGTGGCCACAGACTAGAACCCTAAAGGGCCACTCTCAGTGAGTTATCATTGAGTGACTATACAAGACTATATGGAAGACTTTTGATTCCTTATCACCATTTCTAGAAAACAATAATAAAAAAAGTAGTGTTTTCTTGACAATAGGTATATAGCATCAACATTACAGAGAAGAAGAAATCGTTCATTTTTATATACCTTGGTCTGTAGTCCCAGAGTACGGAAAAACAAAATAAGGTGAGTCATAAAGCGAAGCAGGTGTCCAGGTAGATTGTTTCTGCTTTTGGAAAGCCATTTGCTAAACTCATCCATCAAACCTACAAGCCATCAAAGTGAAGATTCAACAATAGGAATAAAATCAAAAGAAAAAAATAAACATTACCAAGAACATTTATTTCACTCCTATAGTGCTTTCAAGTCACTGTCTCATAATTAATAGCCATGATATAACTCTACACCCTCTTTGAAACAGAGTTTGGGTTCAATCCGAACTTTATTTTATAAAAACCAAATGAAAGGTCACCTCTGACATAAAGTAAATAGTTGCATTCAAATAGGTTAATATTTATCAAGATTAAAAGATATGGTAAGTCACATGCATTGTTTGGATAACTTTAAAAAATCACTATAAGACAATGAAGAACTCATAAAGAGTAAAATAAAACTGGCTGGGTGCAGTCGCTCATGCCTGCAATCCCATGTCTATAACATATAGCACTTTGGGAGGCCAGGGAGGGAAGATCACCTGACGTCAGGAGTTGGAGACCAGCCTGGCCAACAGCGAAACCCCGTCTCTACTAAAAATACAAAAATTAGCCAGGCGTAGTGGTGCACACCTGTAATCCCAGCTACTCAGGAGGCTGAGACTGAAGGATCTTGTGAACCCAGGAGACAGAGGTTGCAGTGAGCTGAGACTGAGCCACTGCACTCCAGTCTGGGCAACAGGGTGAGACTTTGTCTCAAAAAAAAAAAAAAAAACACACACAAAAAACACAAAGTAAAATAAAACCATATCTTACCATCAATGTCTCCCAGGATAAGAAACTTTTGAACTATATGATAATGTTCTTGATTCTCTTCCAGAACTCTCTGAAAAAAAAGTTTTTAATTTTCCATAAATCTTCTAGCAGTCATTCTGTAGTATATATTCACTGTTAAACTAAAAATGTTAAACTTTTGAAGGAACATATAGAAAGAAAAAGCTGGAAATGAAGGGCCTTAGAAAGATCAAAACAAAATAAAACATGGAAAGGATACTGCCTTTGGAATATACTCACAGCTTACAAATCCAGAACTGAAAAGCATCTTTGAAAGTAGAGACCTATGTTATAACAATTTAATCTCTCAATGGTATTAAACTTTTATTCTTATATTTTATTCCTATTTACCTTGGCACTACACATGGTGGACGAGAAAGGAAGAACTCATGTGACCTAAGCAAAATAAACTATTAAGATTTCTTTCAACATGAGCAGCAGTACATGAAAGCATTCTTTGAGTATTCTCTTCTGTACATGGCACCAAGGGTGAAAAAAAAAAATAGTGATCAGGTACAGAGTAGAGAAAACCTTTTCTAACTTATTTGCAGCTTGATTTTTTGAAGAATATAGTTCATTTTTTGTTGTCAAACGTATTTTAATTTTTATTTAGTTGGCTGTCTAAATTTTCTTTCAGCATTTATTAATTTTTACATTCAAACCTTTGCTCTATATGGAATTTATTTTAGTTACATGGCATGAAGTAGGATCTAGCTTTGTTTTCTTCTGGATGGAAAGCCAATTATGCCAGCGCCATTTATTTAAATAAACCATCCCTTTCCCTCTGAAATGAAATGTCACCTCTGACATCTGTTAAGTTCTCATATATACTTGGATCTAGTTTGGACTTTGTGTTCCACTCATCTATTTATTTTCATGTCAGTTCTATACTGTTTTGTTGTATCTTCATATTAAGTGTTATTATTGAGTAAGGCAAGTACCCTCTAACTACTTTTTTTGCTTTCAGTGTGGTTTTTTTTGTTTGTTTGTTTGTTTTTGAGACAGAGTCTCACTCTGTTGCCCAGGCTGGAGTGCAGTGGTACAATCACGGCTCACTGCAGCCTCCACCTCCCTGGGCTCAGGTGATCCTCCCACCTCAGCCTCCTGAGAAGCTGGGACTACAGGAGCATGCCACCACACCCGGCTAATTTTTAAAATTTTTTTTGTAGAGATGGGGTTTTGCCATGTTGTCCATGCCGGTCTCAAACTCCTGAGCTCAAGTGATCCTCCTGCTTCAGCCTCCAAAACTGCTGGGACTAGAGGTGTGAGCCACCAAACCCAGATTGTTCTTTTTCAAAATGCTCTTGCCATTCTCAATTATTCTTCTACTTGACAAAATTTTCTGTCCAGAAGTAATACCCCAAAGCATTAGGTTTTTATGCTAATTTTGGAATGAGTGACATTTATATTAAATGCCCTCATCGAGGAACATGATATATCTATTTATTTATGTCTTATTTTATGTCCTTCAGTAAGATTCTATAGTTTTTTAAATGAAGGGCTTGAAACCCTGGATTAATTTTTTATTCCTAGATCTCTTTAGTTTTGGTCACTCGTTTAAATGGAACTTTTGGGGAGGGGGTACTAAATCCTTTTCTAAATAGTTATAACAAGCACAGAAAGACTTGACTTTTAAAAAAAAAACGTTGTCTTGTATCTGGCTACTTTAACAAATTCTCTTATTAATTCTAGTAACTTACTGAGCTTTAAGTTTCTAGACTAATATTTTTATCATATATAAATGTTCTTCCCTTTCTAGTATTTATATCTGTTCCTTAATTTTCTTGTTTTATTTCATTAGCTAGAATATCCAAAATAATAGACTGGTAATAAACTCTTGACAGAAAAAGCATTAATTTCCTTACTATATCAAGTGCTCCTATATAATAATAAGAAAAATATAAAACACCACAGAAAAATAGCTAAAAGATATGAACAAAAAATTCACAAATGGTCAATAAACATAAGGAAACATGCTCAGCCTTATGAATAGACAAGAAAATGTGAGTAGAACAGCAAGTTCCTATTTCCCACCTACTCTGATGGATTGGCAAAACATAAAAAGTGTGACATTTGAGGCTGGTGAGAATGTATAATTCAATAAATTACTTGTGGAAGTATGAATTAACTGCCACAACCAGGTAATAAATTATTTTTCCATTTCAATTTTTTCTTTTTTTTTGAGACAGAGTTTCGCTCTTGTTGCTCAGGCTAGAGTGCAACGTTGCGATCTTGGCTCACTGCAACCTCTACCTCCTGGGTTCAAGTGATTCTCCTGCCTCAGCCTCCCAAGTAGCTGGGATTACAGGCATGCAGCATCCATTTCAAAATGTTTCTTTACCTACCTACCTACCTATTTAATTTTTCTTTTTTCTTTGAGACAGGGCCTTGCTCTGTTGCCCAGGCTGGGGTGCAGTAGTGCAATGACAGCTCACTGAAGCCACGACCTCCTGGGCTCCAGTGCAGTAGTACAATCACAGCTCACTGAAGCCACGATCCTCCCACTTCAGCCTCTGGAGGAGCTGGGACTACAAGTGGGTACACCACCATACCCAGCTAATTTTTTTTTTTAGAGACGAAGTTTTGCTATGCTGCCCAGGCTGGTCTAAACTCCTGGCCTCAAGTGATCCTCCCATCTTGGCCTCCCAAGTGCTGGGATTACAGATGTGAGCCACCATACCTGGCCTTTTTATTTATTTTTATTGTATATATTTTTAAGGTATACAACCTGATGTCTTCAGAGAATTCATTCAGAAACACTGTATGTATGTATATACAATGTATAAAGCATATACTTATTTATACTCCTTAACCTGGTAACCCTGCTTTCAGGAAACTTATCCCAAAGAAACAGAAGGACTAGTAGTTAAGTACACACACATGTAACTTCATTACAGCACTAGAAATAACCTAAATACTACCCAAAGGGGAATGATTAAAATAAATCATACATTATTCTAAAGAACACTATGTATTTATTAAAAAGAATAAGGTTAAGTGAAAATGAATAAACTAACTTGGAGATTATCATTAAATGAAAAAAATCAAGCTGTAGAGTAATATATGTAGTAAAATGTGAAAAACACAAAAATCAAAATTCTAAATTGGAGTATCTACATTATTTACACATATTCGTAAGATCATGGAGAGAAATATAGAAGGATACATATCAGTATGTTTTATCATCTCAGGGGAATAACCATAAAGGGGTAGAAATTACTATAAAGGTTTTATTTATACATTCTAAAATTATTTTATTGTTACAAGTACATACAATATTACTACAGTTGTTTAAGCATTTTTAAAAGAATATAATTTTTAGAAAATATTAGATTTTAAGATCTAGGAAAATAAAGTCTTAATAATTTTCCATAATGTGTTTTAAATTTTAAAAAAGGAATAAATATAGCTTACGTGCATATACTTAGATGAAATTAATCCGAAACAAAAAACTAAAAATGATGTATCATTTATGTAATTAAGTTTCTTCGTTTCAAAGAATGATTCTTATTTTAATAGGTGAGAAAAAGGGAGAAAGTTCCACCTTTTTCCTTTCAGCTACAGTGCACAATAGAATAACACTGTTTCCTATTCCAGATACCTAACATATTCCTATTAACATTTACCTTTTTGTCAGTAGCTTGAAGTTCCTCAAAAACCTTTTCTAACGTCCAGCTTCAAAAGAAACAACGGGAAAAGAATAATGTTAATAATATGAAAAAGGGGTGTAAAACGAAACATCAAAGAGCATGCTACAAATCACCATGACTCAAAACAATCCAACAAACTCACTTTGCTCCCAGATATTCTCTAGGGAGTTCTTCAGTTTCATCCAGAGTTGCTACTGATGTCTGGATCTCCTGTTCTACCAGACTGTCCACCATCACCCGGAAGTAGGCCCAAACTGTGTCTTCCCAGGTGTCACAGACAGGAAGCAGCTTTTTCCCCATTACAAAACAGAAACATATAGACATATTCAACAGAAAAGAAAGGAAAAGCAATTACATCCAATGATACAGACTATAAAATCACTTTATAATGATATAAAACACGGCAGATTTTAAAAAAATTATGCCAAATAACCTTTCCTCCGCCAACTACATCTTCTAAGATGTTTGAACTGTTCAGATTTTTTCATACTGTTAACAACAACATCAGTTTTCCAGGCTGATATGACATTTCAACTGATTAGTATAGTATCCCTAAAGATAGCTATAATATGTAGGGAGTAGTGGGTTGTGAGAAAACATGCGTATGTAAGACAACCCAAGGACTCACTGTGTCTTTCCGGTACATTTCTGCATACAGCTATGAGTATTTTAAGTCATCAATAAATGTGTGTTGGAGTTAAATTTACAATTCTTAGTTAAAAACTGAAATCTGATTTCATTCATTAAAATACCATGCATGTTATGGGATACATCAAATTAAGCAGAACAAGTCACTATCTGATTCATGATTATCTCTATCATTGCTACACTTAAGTATGTATATACTTAAGTATACAAACTTAAGTTTATATTTGTTATATACAATTGTTAGAATATTTTATTTAATTTTACTCCACAGAAAAAATTTAAACATTAAAACAGATTGCATACCTGCTTAAGATTCCCACTTAAAGCTGCATAAATTGCTCTCTCGTATCTATTAAAAAGCTCCTAAAACACAATGAATATAAACAAATTTGAAATATTGTTTTTCTTAGTATGTCAATTTTCCTCATAATGTGGAGTCTTGCAAACTCTTCTAGACTGAACCTATTCACTTGATAGTTTTTAAACTTTAGTGAAAGATCTAGTGGGGTAATAACAAGGAAGAACTTCAGTGTGATGAAATAATAAATGCTGAAATCTAGAGGAAAAAGTAAAACATTTAAATGCCAAATATCAGGTGAAAGCAGATCCAACTCTAGTGGATGCTTTGAATATTTAAAATCAAATTTTATTCCAGATACAATCTATATAGTTATTTACTCCTAGAATGTTTCTCAATACCTGACATTCTGATACTGACCTGATACTCTCTGATACTGACCTATGTACAACATCAAAACAAGGCATGCATTAGTTTGCATTTAATTCCTACATAGAACTAACTAATTCCCCATTTTACTTTTGGGATTCTATTAATGGTATTTCCAGTTTTCTTATCATCCAAACAAGAGACTTCAGAGACTCTTACTGCATAACTGAGTCCACCTCTGCCTTCTGTTTCTAATCACCGGTCCTGACCAGTGTCTCTTCCTTCCTTTCCATTATCATCAATACTATCCTAGGAAAGACCCTTATGACTTAGTGTCCAAATAATTCTGACAGGCTCCTAATTACTTTTTCAGGCTTTTATCCATCTAATTTTAAGTATATTTTTTCTACTGCCATGCTGATCTTCTTAAAAACACTTCTGCCATGTGCCCTAAAGCTTCTACCACCCTGACATCCAATTCCACAAGCAAACTTTAGGCCTTTTTCAAGGTAAAGTGCCATATTTATTGTAGTATTTATGTATTTTTTGAACTGTTTGACAGATGTAAAACTGTGCTACCATTTTTATTAACTTTTTATCATTTTATGTATCACTAATGAAGTTTTTGAGTATTTTTCTCTTAACTCCATTTCCCTATAAGTCCTGTGGGGTTTTTGCACAATGTTGTACATTGTGATGACTTTGAATACCTATGTCGTGTTACAACAGAACTGACTTTATTTCCTTTATAAGCATTCTACTCCAACCTGGTAGACCCACCTTACTTTGAGTTTCCCAATCTATGTATCCTACCTGGAATTCCTTCCTCTTGTTTTTCATTCTCAACAACGCAAATCCTACTAAGTTTTAAAAGTTCAATTCAATTCTTTCCTCAGGGAAGCCAGCTTTAAGCTTTAGCCCAGTACTTTTTCTCTAAATTCATTTGGTACCTCCTTTACTTTTCTGCCTTATATCAGTGTTTAATTCTTAGTACACAGTGTTTTAATAATTCTGATAAGTAGTTAAGCCTATTCCTCAATTTAATTGGAAATTCTCTGAAAACCAGTTTTACACTACTTTCAATGTTTCACAGCCCCTGAATAGGCTTTCAATTAATTGGAGTTAAAAACAGTATCACTGAATATTTTATTTATCTTACATCTTCTGCCATTCTCCAGCAACTTATTTTCCAAATGCGTCTATATGGATTCCCTTCAACAGGTTCTAATTCTGTTCCTATAAAATAGCAAAAGAAAATTTCTGGTTTAAAATAAGACCTTATTACAATTCTTTCTAAAAAGAGAAGCTATAGTTCACAAAGATTGGCATTTAGAGCGAAATGCCTTTGTCCTCAACTGTCAGAATAAAATCTACTAAAATACCTCCATTAACATTAGGGTCATGGTACAGTTTCCAGCCTTCAAGTGTTGCAGCTCTCCATGCTTGACCACAGCGTTTACAGAGTCGTTGTGCCTTAGAAAACAAGAAAGAGCAGTCAGTCCAATAACCAGGGTGCTTTATAGTAAAGTATAACCAATATATGACAAGCTTAGATAACTTATGGAACAAATGTTCCATCCATCCCATTACAAGGGATGGATGTAGACAGTTAATAATGGAATTCTGGCTGGGCGTGGTGGCTCACGCCTGTAATCCCAACACTTTGGGAGGCCAAGGCAAGTGCATCACCTGAGGTCAGGAGTTCCAGATCAGCCTGGCCAACATGGTGAAACCCCATCTCTACTAAAAACAGGAAAACTAGCCAGGCGCAGTGGCAGGCACCTGTAATCCCAGCTACTCGGGAGGCTGAGGCAGGTGCATCGCTTGAACCCAGGAGGCAGAGGTTGCAGTGAGCCGAAATTGCGCCACTGCACTCCAGCCTGGATGACAGAGTGAGACCCTGTCTCAAAAACTAAATAAATACATACATACATACATACATACATACATACATACATACATACATAATGGCATTCTATTTTTAAAACATATGCATGCCTTTCTGTGGCCTCTGCCTTTATTTTTCTTTCTTTTTTAAATTTTTTTGTAGAGACAGAGTCTCATTATATTGCCCAGGCTGGTCTCGAACTTCTGGACTGAAGGGATCCCCCCTACCTCAGCCTCCCAACGTGTTGGGATTACAGGTATGAGCCACCATACCTGGCCCTGTTTTTATTTCTAAAAAATCCCTTTTCTGTTTGACTTTAGGCTTAACAATACGTTCCCACGGCACCCACTGGCATTTAATTCTGCTAGAAACAAATGGGGTTAAAGAGGTTGATGACCTCTGATTTATGAAAAACTATTAAAAAAACAGTCTCTAATGACAAGGTTGTTACTGCTCATTTACTCCACTGATGATACTGCATGTTCAACTTGACCAATAAGTCAGTAAGTCAATGTGTTTATATACCAGTAAGGTAAATACATGTTTTTGTTCCATCATCCCTTTAGGGAATCACCTTTTCCCCATTCTTGGCTCCTGTGTTTTGGATAGGCCTGATCCGATTCCAGAAATCTAAGGTTAGGGATGTGAGCTAACAAGATTCACCACCAGGACTCTTGGTGGAGATACTGGGAAAGAAAATATACTCCTTTTACTGAGATTGCTAGCTCCATGTAAGCTTGGAGCTTCTTGTATCCATCTCTGATACAACATGGGGAGTAGCTTTCTGGGAATGAAGGCACAGAGAGGAGGGTTGAGCTATGGGTCTTGGACACAGACAGTATCCTAGTGATATCTTTGGAGTTCCTGGATCCTGCTGAAAGCCAGATATACCTTCTATACTTCCCACTTCCATGAGCCAATCAATTCTCCTCTTGTAAGCATAAAGTAACTTAGGTTGGGTTTCTATCACTTGAACCCAGAAAGCCTGATTGATACAACTAGTTAAAGAATATCATACCCCTAACATCATTCTGAACTTATAGCCTTTAAAATCTATGAGAGCTATGTAAGAATTAACATGGAAAACTATTTTGATATGGTATCTTAAAAAGGCAGGATAAAAACTCAATATAGAATGTTGAAAACATTATGCTAAGTGAAATAAGATAGTCACAAAAGCACATTGTATGATTCTACCTATACATCATAGAGACAGTAAGTAGATTAGAGGTTACAGGGGCTGAGGGAAGAAGAGAATGAGGCGTTACTGCATATAATGGTTACAGTTTGTATTTGGGTTGATGAAAAAGTTTTAGAAACAGACAGTGGTGATGGTTTCCCAATACTGTTAATGTAATGAATGCCATGAAGTGCACACTTAAATGATTAAAATGGCACATTTTGTTATATAATATAATAATATATATTATACGATTCACAAAATCAATAATGTAATATACCAAAACCATTGAATGGTGTCACTTGAAATGGGTGAATTACATGGTATGTAAATTTTATCTCAAATTGCTATTAAAAAAGAGGGAAAAAACTTGAATGTATAGTATGACTGCAACTACCTTAAAAAGGAAGACCAAAGAAAAAGGGCTATAAGTAAATACAAAACACTCACTATCTGTGGTTTTATAAAGCTAGTGAGACCTTGAGAATTTCTATTTTTTGAGCCTTCAATAATATGATTGTATTTTTGTTTTTTAAAATAAATCCCATGGCCGGGTGTGGTGGCTCACGCCTGTAATCCTAGCACTTTGGGAGGCTGAGGTAGGCGGACTGCCTGAGCTCAGGAGTTTGAGACCAGCCTGGGCAACACGGTGAAACCACGTCTTTACTAAAATGCAAAAAATTAGCCAGGCGTGGAGGCGTGTGCCTGTATTCCAAGCTACTTGGGAGGCTGAGGCAGGAGAATTGCTTGAACCTGGGAGGCGGAGGTTGCAGTGAGCCGAGATCGCGCCACTGCACTCCAGCCTGGGTGACAGAGCGAGACTCCATCTCAAAAAAAAAAAGAAATTACATAAGAAATTAATATATGCTTATGGTTGATAGCACAGAAGAAAACAAACAACACTTTGAACTGACATAGAATCTGTCTAAAGACCATTGCAAAAAGTACTGTAAACCAAGTACAACATAATACTGAAGCCAAACTCCTACACATCACACTATCTCACCTAAAGAGGCATCTGGTAAACTGTCCAATTAGATACTTATCATTCTACATATAAGATATTAACTATCACCCACATTTTTAAAAGGTAAGGTTAAAAGGAAGAAGTTTGAGGGCCATTGTAGCCTTCAAGTGCCTAAATAGTATCACCTAGAATTAGGGTTAGGTTTATTCTAAACTCTGAAAAATCAGAATTAGAAATAATGAAGATTGGGTCAGGTGCAGTGGCTCATGCCTGCAATCCCAGCACTTTGGGAGGCCAATGCAGGAAGATCACTTGAGCCCAGGTGTTCACGATCAGCCTGGACAACATAGTAAGACTCCGTCTGTACAAAAAATAAAAATGTTAGTTGGGCATAGTGGCGTGTACCTGTAGTCCCAGTTACTCAGGAGGCTGAGGCAGGGCTTGAGCCCGGGAGGTAAGGACTGCAGTGGGCCATGATTATATCACTGCATTCCAGTCTAGGCGACAGTGAGATCCCATCTCAAAAAAAAAAAGAAAGAAAGAAAGAAAGAAAGAAAGAAAAAGGAAAAAAAAATGAATGGAGATTGGGCCAGGTGCAGTGTCTCATGCCTGTAATCCCAGCACTTTTTAAGGCCAAGGCGGGAGGATCACTTAAGGCCAGAAGTTTGAGATTACGCTGGGCAACATGGCAAGACACTGTCTCAAAAAAAAAACAAAAACAAAAACAAAAATCTCAAACGGAACAAAAAAATAAATAATGGGGATATACCTAGAGTATGCAGTGCAATATGGGGAAGAAAAGTATGACTTGTTATAAATAATTTTCTATTAATTAGAGTTGTACAAACTAGATTACATTGTTTTCTCAAGTTACATGTGCCTTATCACCGGAAATGTTCGAACAGGAAGTTAGATCTAGAAATACCATGAATGGAATTACTACATTAAGAAGGCTTACTAGGCAGCCACAAAAATCTCTTCCAACTCAAAGAGTCTATGACTTTTTGAAATTAGACAAGAAGGGTATACATGACTGACCTCTTCTGTCATTCCAGCACGGATTAGAGTAAAGAGATATTTGAGTAATCTAACTTCATCTTCTCTATCCAGATCATCAAGGGGCATTTTCTGTCTTATGGGAGCATCAGGGTCCTGTAAGAAGAAAAAAAAGTCATCATCAACCATAAATCCTTTGTACTTACATACATTTTACACATCATCAAGAGATGATAAACCTATCCTGAGTTTATACACAAATAAATTCATTTTTTCTTTTTTCTTTTCCGAGACGGAGTCTTGTTCTGTCGCCCAGGCTGGAGTGCAGTGGCGCGATCTCAGCACACCACAACCTCCATCTCCTCTGTTCAAGCAATTCTCCTGCCTCGGCCTCCCGAGCAGCTGGGATTATAGGTGCACGCCACCACGCCCAGCTAATTTTTGTATTTTTAGTAGAGACGGGGTTTCACCACGTTGACCAGATTGGTCTCGAACTCCTGACCTCATGATCCACCCACCTCGGCCACCCAAAGTGCTGGGATTACAGGCGTGAACCACTGCGCCTGGCTGAAATAAATTGTTTCAATTTAATTAAGTAACAAAGGGAATGAAGCTCTCACAAGATTACAAGTGTTCCAAATAGCCACATAGTCATCTGCTTCCCTACTTAAAACATACTCAGTTGGCCCACAAAGGGCATGCCTCAGTCAGGCAAGGCAGAAATACTACTAGCCTATCCCAGCCCAGGTAACACTAGAAGATGACTTGAGTTTCACTCTATCACAGCAGCTACATGGTCAAGTTTAAATAGAATTAGACCTAGATGGAAGAAGAACACAAAGCAAAAACCTTCTGTTCTGTGACTACAAAGTGCTTACCTGGTACTTTTTGAGAACATATGGGAAGAGGGCCTATTAAGACCTATTTTGGGATTAATGCCACATAAAAAACACCAATGCCTAATAAAAAAATTTAAACAGATTTCTAATAAATAAGTACAAATCTCCCAAAACAGTTATTTCTACCTACCTTTTTTCCATGTGCTTCTAAGCATTTAGGATAATATATTGTTCTCACTTTAGCAGCAAACAGCACACATGATCTACATGATGGATTTCCAATGGAAAACAATTTTAATGTGACTCAAGAAAGGAAGTAATTCTTACTCCACATGTTACTTAGTGTATGGTAATATGAATATCAATTCAGAAAATGGAATACATAATAGATCAATTCACTACTTTCATAAATATTTTGCAAACACATAATTCAATTTTGGAACATGGTCTCTTTCTGGCAAAAGGAAATCACCACTTTCCAGCTGGTAAGATTAAACGATTTTCAGCTGTTGCCTGCTACAATGTAATTTAGCTATAATCAATTTTAAGCTGTTAAGAGTAGTTTCCAAACAATTTTCTTTTTCTTTTTCCCAAACAATTTTCATCAAAAACCTCTTTGTTACTAAATGGAATTCTAGAAGTTTTTTTCAATTGTTACTTATTTCTCTCTTTTCACTATAAACATTTCACGTGCCCTGTCATAAAGCTTCATTCCTTTGTTTTTAGAATAATTCAGCTTCAGTTCTTTTCAAATCCACTTTTCAAATAACCGTTCTAACCTCAAACCAATAAGGCTTTAGTTTTTTTTCACTTGCTTTCAACATAAAAGAGCTTTCATAGGTCAGTCACTACCTTATATAGGCAGTCAAATCTTAAGATAAGACCAAAATTAATTTGTTTTTAATGCTGTCAAGTTAAGTATACTTTCCACAACTTATTACTTACAATTCAAAGGTCACGGATATGTTTCAATATATTCCATCAGATTCCAATGCAACTTAGTTGTTTTAGAGTAAAATGTTAGTGTGTGCAAACCTTTAGAAGAGCAAAACAAAGATCCACGAGAAAAAATTCTCAGCCTGAAAAAAAAAATCAGTTAACTTTGAAGGCAACTTTCATTTCAAAGAACATTTACCAATTCAGTGACAAGCGGACGAACACTTCCAACGTAAGAAGTCAGCTGCCGTTGTTTTAAGGTATGCAGAGTATTTTCCCTGAAAGAAATAATAAGTACCAAATTTTTTAAGAGGTAATTTTAATAGGTCTATTTTTAAAAAATCAAATCAAGTCAAAGGAAGAAAGACAGACTACAATCCCAGTAAAAACATGCAAAAATCCTTAATACAGAAGTACATTTTAGCTCAGATGACTAATGGTGTTGAGGGCTTTTTCATGTCCTTATTGGCCATTCATCTATCTGGTTTCGTGATGTATCAGTTCAAATTTTTGCCCTTTTTACTAGGATTATCTTTCTACTATTGAGTTATAGTTCTTTATGAACTACACATCCCAGTCTGTGGCTTGCTCCCATTTATTTTCTTAATGGTGGGTTTTTTTTTTTTTTTTTTGGAGACAGGGTCTCGCTCTGTTGCCGAGGCTAAAGTGCAGTGGCACAATCATGACTCACTGCAGCCTCGACCTCCCGGACTCAAGTGATCCTCCCATTTCAGTCTCCTGAGTAGCTGGGACTACAGACACGCGCCACCATGCCCTGCTAACATTTTAATATTTTTGTAGAGATGGGGGTCTCACTGTGTTCCCCTGGCTGGTCTTGAACTCCCGGCCTCAAGTAATCCTTCTGCCTCAGCCTCCCAAAGTGCTAGGATTACAGGTGTGAGCCACCATGTCTGGCCAATGGTGTTTTTTTAATGATACATTTTTAATTTTGATAAAGTCAAACCAATTTTTTTGCCTGATTATTGCTTTCTATGAGCTAAGATACATCTATCTATTCTCAAGTTACTAGGATATCTTCCTATGCTTTTCTTTAAAAGCTTTATGGTTTTTAGCTTCTACATTTAGGACTATGACACATCTTGAATTAATTGTTGGGTATGGAGTGAGGGAGCCATCAAGGTTAATCTTCTTTCTCATAGATATCATTTTTCTGCAGTTTGTAAAAAAGGCATTCCATTCCCTGCTGGATTGCTTTGATGTCCTTGTTGAAAACCAAATGACCATATCAGTGTGAATCTATTGTGGGGTTCTCTGTTCTGTTCCGCTGATCAGCAAAAAAAAGGAGATTAACTCATTAAAAATTGTAAAAACCCAACAGGGCATTTTAACTAAAAAAAAAAAACAAAAAACAAAAAACAAAAAAAAAAACTTATTTTCTGAAAATGAAAACTTCCTTTCAGAAAAAAAATCACATCCACTTAAGATTTAATTTTTAACAAATGCTTAGTAGCAGTAATTTCCTAGCTAAGCAGAGAAAATATATAATTGACTTACAGACTTTGTACACATATTACTGAATTCAAAGGCAATCTGGCAATCTGACTTTTTTTTTTTTTTTTTTTTTTTTTGAGATGGAGTTTTGCTCTTTTTACCCAGGCTGGAGTGCAATGGCGTGATCTTGGCTCACTGGTGCCCGCCACCACGACTGGCTAATTTTTGTATTTTTAGTAGAGATGCGGTTTTACCATGTTGGCCAGACTGCTCTTGAACTCCTGATCTCAGGTGATCCACCTGCCTTGGCCTCCCAAAGTGCTAGGATTACAGGTGTGAGCCACTGTACCTGCCCGCAATCTGACCTTTTAAAAATCTTTTGCAAGTCTTAAACCATGCCCAGCCACAATCTGACCTTTTAAAAATCTTTTGCAAGACTTAAAATAAACTGTCCCTTTAACTTAGGGGAGGTTTCTGGCTTCAAGGGCCTATAATAATTTAGAAGTACTGAAGAGTGTAAGCAAAAGCAAGACAAAACAAAACAAACCCACACAAGTAGCTGAAAACAGGACAGAAGTGTCTTCTTGACAATCAGAAGATCATCTTCTGATATGATCAATAATCTTATTAAGAAAAAAGCAGGCAGGTGATTGTTTGAAAACATAAATTGGACCATGTCATTCTTCTATTCTCAAGGTTTCCCATCACATTTAGAATAAAGTCCAGAATAGTTACATTTGTCTGCCTGTAAAAGCCCTATATCTGGCTTCCTCCAGTCTTGTTTTCTACCATTCTTTTCCTTGCTGTGTTCCCACTGGCTTCTTTGTGCAAACACTTTACGTTCTCTGGGTCATTCCAGTTTGTTTTCCTGCTCAGAATAGTTATCCCCCAGATTTTTGCATGGCTGGCTGCCTTTATTTCATAAAAGTCTCTTACTACCTTAGAAAAGCCTTCTCTTCAATTTAAAGTAGGACTCCCTGTCGTATCTATCCATTAATTCTAATCCTTTTTTTTTTTTTTGAGGTGGAGTCTCGCTCTGTCACCCAGGCTGGAGTGCAGTGGAGCGATCTTGGCTCACTGCAAGCTCTGCCTCCCAGGTTCAAGCTCCTGTCATATCAGTATTTAAATACAGAATTCAGGATCTCCTACTTTAAAAACAATCTCCCTTCTGAGTTACTTTTATTTTATTTATTTATTTATTTTTTGAGACAGGGTCTCACTCTGTCACCCAGGCTGGAGTGCAGTGGCGCAATCTCGGCTCACTGCAACCTCTGCCTCCTGGGTTCAAGCGATTCTCCTGCCTCAGCCTCCCAAGTAGCTGGGACTACAGGCGCCCGCCACCACGCCTGGCTAATTTTTTGTATTTTTAGTAGAGATGGGTTTCACCGCATTAGCCAGGATGGTCTTGATCTCCTGACTTCGTGATCCGCCCGCCACCACGCCTGGCTAATTTTTTGTATTTTTAGTAGAGATGGGTTTTACCGCATTAGCCAGGATGGTCTTGATCTCCTGACTTCGTGATCCACCCGCCTCAGCCTCCCAAAGTGCTGGGATTACAGGTGTGAACCACAGCGCCGAGCCTCTAATTCATTTTTTTCCCCAAAGCTCGGAATACCCAACAGAATATACATTTGTCTCTTGGTATCCATAGGGGACCCTACTTGGATACCAAAATCCAAGGGTGCTCAGATCCTTTACATAAAATATTGTATTATTTGTATATAACCTACACATGTTCTCCCATATACTTTATATCATCTCGATTACTTAGAATACCTAATACAACGTAAATGTTATGCAAATAACTATTATACTATATTTTTAAATTTGTATTACTTTTTTTATCTTGTTATTTTTATTGTTTTATTCCAATTATTTCTTTTCTGTTTTTTTTTTTTTTTTTTAAGACGGCCTGCTCTGTCGCCCAGGCTGGAGTGCAATGGCATGAACTCGGCTCACTGCAACCTCCACCTCCTGGATTTCAGCGATTCTCCTGCCTCAGCCTCCCAAGTAGCTGGGATTACAGGTGTGCGTCACCAAACCCGGCTAATTTTTGTATTTTTAGCAGAGACAGGGTTTTACCATGTTGGTCAGGCTGGTCTGGAACTCCTGACCTCGTGATCCCCCACCTTGGCCTCCCAAAGTGCTGGGATTACAGGCGTGAGCCATCACACCCGGCTTGTTTTATTCCAATTATTTCTGATCTGCAGTTTGTTCAATCCATGGATGCGAAACCCACAAACTCAGAGGGCCAACTGTATATTTGCAAATCAGCTATCTAACTCTCTTAAACAATTATAAATTCCATAAAGGCAAAGCCTTTATTTGTTTTGCTCACACACCAAACAAAGTAGTGTGAACAAAGTAGTGTGAACAAAGTAAAAACTGAATAATACTTATTGAAAGATGAATGAACAATATCAACATTGAGTGACCTTAAGAATTAAAGTTTGGTAACTTACCAATATACTGATTTTGCATAAAACTCAATATTATCAGAAAATTCTCCAATTTCATCTTTGGCAATACTCTCTAACCAATCTACCACCAGCTAAGAAAGAAAGAAAAAAATAAATTAGTGTTAACTACCAAATCTATTTGTGTTTTATTTGTAGTGGTACTACTACCCTTAATTCAAACAGTTTCAGATTTTTTATTTTTTTTTTTGAGAAAGAGTCTCACTCTGTCGTGCAGGCTGGAGTGCAGTGGCATAATCTCGGCTCACTGCAAGCTCTGCCTCCTGGGTTCACGTCATTCTCCTGCCTCAGCCTCCCAAGTAGCTGGGACTACAGGCGCCCACCACCACACCCAGCTAATTTTTTTTTTATTTTTAGTAGAGACGGGGTTTCACTGTTAGCCAGATGGTCTCGATCTCCTGACCTCGAGATCTGCCTGCCCTGGCCTCCCAAAGTGCTGGGATTACAGGCGTGAAGTTTCTGATTTTAAAAATATCAAGTAACAATTTTTCCAAACACTATTTTTACTTTAAGATAAATAAATATTATGGCAAAAGAATAAAATTTTCTATAGGAATAATCGTTTTTAACAGGCTATTCCTGAAAATACTAGGGCTATTACTTAAAAATCAAAGAATAAGGTTTCTAATTCCTTTTAATTGCAAATAAAAAGATCAAGTAGAAAAAAAATTCAGAAAACAGTTTTAAGTTAAAAAACACTTCAGTACTTTGCATGTCATTAACCTTTTCTCCATGTTTCATAAAAAAAAATTTTAAATTCTAGTCATACCTGACTTTGTCGAACAAGTGAATCCCTCTGAAATAACGCTTCCACAACTGTTTTTTCACTGGCATTAACAGCCTATTATGAAAAATATTAAAAGGATAAACAGAATGAAAAGAAGATGCTGTTAAGAAATATTATTTTAATAGAAAGATAAAAAGCCAGTATGAAACAAGTACAGTTAATCATCTATACATAAACATTTTACCACATAGTAAATCTGTATATTCATCATTGAAAGGTATCTATTGTGTAAATTCCAAACTGCTACATCAATTGTAGCTGCTCTTACCTGGTATATTGATTCTTTACACTTGAAATTTAAAATTCCATTTTCCCAGAGATGGTGTTTTGGGGAAAAATAAACACAAAATAAAACAAACAAAAAACTTTAATAGGCCAGGCATGGTGGCTCACACCTGTAATCCCAGCACTTTGGGAGGCCGAGGCAGGCAGATCACTTGAGGTCAGGAGTTCGAGACCAGTCTGGCCAAAATGGTGAATCCACATCTCTACTAAAAATACAAAAATTAGCTGGGCGTGGTGACGCAAGCCTGTAATCCCAGCTACTCGGAGGCTAAGGCACGAGAATCACTTGAACCCACGAGGCAGAGGTTGCAGTGAGCTGAGATCACGCCACTGCACTCCAGCCTGGGTGACAGAGTGAGACTCCATCCCAAAATAAAAAAAAAAAAACTGTAATACAGGGCTGAATACAGCCCTGTTACATGTTAGAAACTAAACATTTAAAAACGTTAAAATCCTTTATAGTCTATATAGAAGTTGATAAGTAATAAAAGCTAAGAGCAATCCAAGGCTCTTACAACTGACTTTAAAAGACAATTTAATACAAATATTAGCAAGTAATACTAAGCAGTATATTAAAAGGATAATATATTGTGACCAGTTCAAGAATGGGTCAAATTAATTAATTAATCCATTTTATCCATGGGTTAAAGGAGAAAAGCTACATGGACTTCTTGACAGGTACCAGAATATTTCATAAAAATATCTTCATAAATTTTACCTTGCCATTTTGATGTAAAAAATATATATATCCTCATAAGTTAGACTAACTGAAACCTCTAGCAAACATATAGTCGTCCCTTGGTATCCATGGGGGATTGGCTCCAGGACCCCTCGTGGATACCAAAATCTGTGGATGTTCAAGGCCCTTATATAAAATGTTGTAGTATATTTTATTTAATTATTTATTTATTTTTTGAGACAGAGTCTTACTCTGTCATCCAGGCTGGAGTGCAGTGGGCCTGATCTCAGCTCATTGCAACCTCTGCCTCCTGGGCTCAAGTGATTCTCATGCCTCAGCCTCCCAAGAAGAAGGGAGGTGCCTGCCACCACACCTGGGTAATTTTTGTATTTTTAGTAGAGACGGGTTTCACCATGTTGGCCAGGCTGATTTCAAATTCCTGGCCTCAAGCAGTCTACCTGCCTCGGCCTCCCAAAGTGCTGGGATCGCAGGCATGAGCCACCTCATCCAGCCAAAATGCTGTAGTATATTTTAAATCATCTCTATTGGACCTGGCTGTGATAAAAAAATAATGAACAACAACAACAACAAAATCATCTCTAGATTATGTATAATATCTAATATAATGTAAATGCTACATATGTAAATAGTTGTTATATTATATCACTTAGGGAATAAAGATTAAAAACATGTGCACATATTCAGTACAAACCCAATGATCTTTTATTTGAGACAGGGTCTCGCTCTGTCACCCAGGCTGGAGTGCAGTAGCACAATTACAGCTCACTACATTCTTGACCTCCTGGGCACAAGCGATCCTCCCATCTCAGCCTCACATGTAGATGGGACTAGGCATGCACCACCATGCCCGGCTAAGTTTGTCACTTTTTGCAGAGACTGGGTCTTGCTATCTTGCCCAGGCTGCTCTTGAACTCTGGGCTAAACTGAGCCTTCCACCTTGACCTCCCAAAGTGTTGGGATTACCGGCATGAGCCTCCACACCTGGACCATTTTTTTTTTCTTTTTTGACAGTTGGCAGAGCTAGCTGAGGTTTTATTTTGGAAAAAAAAATTGCATTGTTTTGTAGCTGTAGGCATGGGCAAGGGGGGTACCCCAGGCAGTAAACTCCCCCCACGGGTGGGCAGAGGGCTAGGGCTGAGCCTCAGGTGGGTCTCCTGTTCCCTGTGCTCCTCTGGACAGCAGCCTCTCTGGGGCAGCCGCAGAAGGGGTAGGCTAGAAGGGGCTGTCACGGCTGTTCACTTGGTCAGTACATCAGACGACTCAGACACTAGCTTTCCATCGTGGGTCTCGATCTTCACAATCACAGCCCTGGTGGAGCTGGTGCAGCTGAAGGAACTGGAGCCCGCACCAGAGCCAAAGCTGGAGTCCAGGCTGTAGCTGAGGCCAGGGCTTATGAGGCCCCCATAGGCCGAGCTCAGACCACCTGAATAGCCGCTGGTGGTCTTCGTATGGATACTCATGTTCTGCATCCCAGACTCCAGCTGGCTCTCCTCATCCTCCAGCAGCTTCCTTTAAGTGGTGATCTTGATGTCCAAGGCCAGCTTGAAGTTCATCAGCTCCTGGTACTCCCGCAGCTGCCGTGCCATGTCCTGCTTGGCCCGCCCACCTCCAGCTTGGACAGCTTGGTGTTGGCATCCTTAACTGCCAGCTCCCCATGCTGCTCAGCATCTGCGATGGCGGCCTCCAGGGAAGCCCTCTGGCCTTTGAGGCCCTCAATCTCATCCTGGAGCCGACTGATGTTCCTGTTCATCTTGGAGATCTCAGTCTTTGTGCACCACGGGTCATCCCATGCTTCCAAGCCAGCGTCTGCAGCTCCTCATATTTGATCTCATGCTCTCAGCCTCAGCCTGGTTGTGGTTGGCGATCTCCTCGTACGGTGCCTTGACCTCAGCGATGATGCTGTTCATGTCCAGGGAGCGACTGTTGTCAATGGACAGCACCACAGATGTGTCCGAGATCTGGGACTGCAGCTCCCGGATCTCCTCTTCATACAGTTGCCTGAGGAAGCTGATCTCTTCAGTAAGCCCTTCCAGGTGAGACTCCAGCTCTACCTTGTTCTTGTAAGCTTCATCCATATCCTTCTTGATGAGGACAAATTCATTCTCCATCTCTGTATGCTTTTTGATATCATCCTCGTACTTGTTCTTGAAGTCCTCCACCAGCCCCTGCATGTTATCAAGTTCCACCTCCAGCTTCAGCTTCTCTTGGCCCAGAGTGTACAGCTGCCAGCAGAAGTTTGTTGATGTAGCTCTCGAACATGTTGTCCATGTTGCTCTGAGCCGTCTTCTGCCGCTGCAGGGGCCTCCACTTGGTCTCCAGCATCTTGTTCTGCTGCTGCAGGAACTGTACCTTGTCAATGAAGGAGGCAAACTTGTTGTTGAGGGTCTTGATCTGCTCCTTCACCTGGGTGCACACAGCTTGGATGTTGGGGTCCACCTCCAGGTTAAGGGGGCTCAGCAGGCTCTGGTTGACCGTGACTGGGGTGATGCCTCCCCTACCACTGGCCCTGCCAAAGTCTCCACCCAGGCTACCCCGGAAACTGCTGCTGCCCATTCGGGAGAAGCTCGAGGAGCTGATGCAGGCACTGGGCCCACACATGTAGGAATGGCTACTGAAGGCCCTTGGGCCAGAGTTGGACACCTTGAAGGACTTCTGGGTCACTCTGATGGACATGGTGGAGGCAGGAGTGAAGGCAGGCAGGCTGAGCTAGGCGGAGATTCGAGAAGGAACAGAGAAGCTGCTTCTTGGTGATTCTTTTTTTTTTTTTTTTTTTTAAAGAATACTTTTGATCTGCAGTTGGTTAAATTCATGGATGTGGAACCCACATATAAGGAATTTCGGCTGACTATACTTAACTGTAAAGTGAGATACTCCCTTTAAAATCCAGAAGATGAGGAGTAAGAGTTCATTATTATTCAACTTTACTTTGAAAAGTCTAACTAACATAATAAAACCAGGAAAAGAATTAAGTTAGCAAAAAGTATGGAAAAACAGTCAAAGTCATCACTACTTGTAGATAACAGAATTGCCTGGAAAACCAGAGGAAACCTATTAAAACTAGTAAGTGAGCTCAATAAATAGCCAAATATGACAGTCTTCCTACATGTGCATTTGGAATGAAGTATTTGTGGGATAAACAAATTAAAAGATTGGAAAGATATTAAAAAATATTTTAAGTGAAAAAGTAGCCTTGGAGTTTGAGACCAGCCTGGGCAACATAGTAAGACACCCCATCTCTATAAAATATAAAAAAGAAATTAGCCAGGCATGGTGGTACACACCTGTAGTCCTCGCTACTTGGGAGGCTGAGGCAGGAGGCTCACTTGAGCCCAAGAGTTCGAGGCTGCAGTGAACTATGATCATGCCACTGCACTCTGGCCTGTGAGACAAAGTGAGACCATGTCCCCGCCGTGCTGGCCACCCCCCAAAAAAGAAAAAGAAACAAAAGAAAAAAAAAAGCAGTCTAACAGATATACATAAAATATTTATTATAAATATACATTATCTCCTTTTTTAACTATATATACTTGCTTCAAATATGAATTACTTTTGGGCGAGGCACGGTGGCTCACGTCTGTAATCTCAGCACTTTGGGAGGCCAAAACAGGTGGATCACTTGAAGCTAGGAGTTCAAGACCAGCCTGGACAACATGGTTAAAACCCTGTCTCTACTAAAAGTACAAAAATTAGCCGGGTGTGGTGGTGCATGCCTGTAATCCCAGCTACTAGGGAGGCTGAGGCATGAGAATCGCTTGAACCCGGGAGGTGGAGGTTGGAGTGAGCTGAGATCACGCCACTGCACTCCAGCCTGGGCAATAGAGCAAGACCCTATCTCTTAAAAAAAAAAAAGAATTACTTTTAAAAACAGAAAATATAAAGAAGTTAAACCCCAAAAAGGCATCTGATCTTGATGATTTAACAGGCATATATGTGTACATATTTTTTCAAAACAGATATAGCTGGTTTATTTTGGAAATAAGTCTCATCCAGAAATGTTACTTGCTGCATTTAAAAAACATCTGAGGCTATTTGCATGTTTCTTCCCCAAACCCTCAATCCAGCCAAGGCCAGTTTTACCACCCAAGGTCCTTTCAGGATCCCAGGCCTGGAGGCTGTAGAAGACAGCATTGAATCCTAAGGGCAAAAGAATGGTGTTTACTTGTCCAGAATTTCTCTCACACACATATATATGTATGAAGAAAAACATTCACTGCACTTTTTTTTTATTTTTTAGAAACGGGATCTCACTCTGTTGCCCAGGCTAGAGTGCAGTAGTATGGTTGTAGCTCACCGTAGCCTTGAACTCCTGGGCTCAAGTGATCCTCTGGCCTTAGCCTGACAAGTTGCTGGGACCACAGGCATGTGCCTCTACACCAAACTATTTACTGCATTATTAATGGCTACAGCAAAAATACCAGTAACAACCTAAATATGTCCGGCTGAATGTCTCAAAAAATTACAGTACATTTATACTCTGACATACTATGAAAAAATATGGTAAAAACCTACATAAATTTTAAAAAATCTAAGAAATAATAATTTTAAAACTCTCAGTATAAGCCGGGCACAGTGGCTCACACCTGTAATCCCAGCACTGTGGGAGGCTGAGGTGGGCGGATCACAAGGTCAGGAGATCGAGACCAGCCTGGTCAATACAGTGAAACCCTATCTTTACTAAAAACACAAAAATTAGCCAGGCGTGGTGGCACAAGCCTGTAGTCCCAGCTACTCGGGAGGCTGAGGCAGAAGTATCACTTGAACCCAGGAGGCGGAGGTTGCAGTGAGCCATGATCGTGCCACTGCACTCCAACCTGGGTGACAGAGTGAAACTTCATTTCAAAAAAAAAAAACAAACAAACTCTCAGTATAATGTATAAATGAAATCATATTATATGTTAAAAAACAAATGTGTGTGTGTATACAAGTATGTGAGTGTATGTTTATATATATGTATGTATCTATAAAGATGCATAGAAAAATGTCTGGTAGGATACATACCAAAACTGTTACACTAAATAGTCAGTGGGATAAAAAGGGACTTTTACCTCTAACTCTCTAATATAAATCAATATTTGATTATTTTATGAGACTGAACTTTTTATTTACTTGTAAAATTTTTAAAATGAAGAAACTCAAGATGGAAGGCTGAAAATAAAATCCTGGCTGGGCGCAGTGGCTCATGCCTGTAATCCCACCACTTTGGGCGGCCAAGGTGGGTGGATCACCTGAGGTCAGAAGTTCGAGACCAGCTTGGCCAACATGATGAAACCCCGTTTGCTATTAAAAATACAAAAAATTAGCTGGGCGTGGTGGGGCACGCCTGTAATCCCAGCTACTCAGGAAGCTGAGGTAGGAGAATCACTTGAACCCGGGAGGCAGAGGTTGCAGTGAGCCGAGATCACGCCATTGCCCTCCAGCCTGGGCAACAAGAGCGAAACTCCAACTCAAAAAAAAAAAAAATCCTATTAGTAACATTTTAATTTGTATGTATTTATAAAAGAAAAAATTAATATAAAACTTACAGTAACTGCGAATACACTTTCCTCTTCTAATGCAGACTGTATTCTGTCTCTGGGGAAAAATAAGACAAAATAAAAAAGCCTTATTTCACACGAATATAATGAACTTGCCACTGAGCATCTGAGAGAAGGAAAATTTGGCTAACTTCTTTTTAAAAATTTTTTATTATTTATTTTTTCAAATATGTATATCTGTATTTTTGTAAACAAAAATGGGACAACAGGCCGGGCACACTGGCTCATACCTGTAATCCCAGCACTTTGGGAGGCTGAGACAGGCAGATCACTTGAGGTCAGGAGTTTAAGACCAGCCTGGCGAACAACAGAGTGAAACCCCGTCTCTACTAAAAATAAAAAAAGTTAGGCAGGGCACGGTGGGTCACGCTTGTAATCTCAGCATTTTGGGAGGCTGAGGTGGGTGGATCACCTGAGGTCGGGTGTTCGAGACCAGCCTGGCCAACATAGTGAAACCCTGTCTCTACTAAAAATATAAAAATTAGGCCAGGTACGGTGGCTCTCGCCTATAATCCTAGCACTTTGGGAGGCCGAGGTGGGTGGATCACTTGAGGTCAGGAGTTTGAGACCAGCATGGCCAACATGGCAAAACCCTGTCTCTACTAAAAATATAAAAATTAGCCAAGCGTGTTGGCATGCGCCTCTAATCCCAGCTACTCGGGAGGCTGAGACAGGAGAATCGCTTAAACCTGGGAGGCGGAGGTTGCAGTGAGCCGAGATCACACCACTGCATTCCAGCCTGGGCAACAGAGCGAGATTCCATCTCAAAAATAAAAATAAAATAAAAATACAAAAATTAGCTAGGCATGGTGGCCAGCATCTGTAATACCAGCTACTCAGGAGGCTGAGGCAGGAGAATCCCTTGAACCTCAGAGGCGGAGGTTGCAGCGAGCCAAGGTTGTGCCACTGCACTCAACCTGAGCAACAGAGTGAGACTCTTTTTCAAAAACAAAACAAATGGCAGAGGGGACATCATTTATATATTAATATGAAATCCAGTTTTCATATAACAATATGTCATGAATATCTTTCCATGTCAATGAATATACACAAATGGTTATTTATTTATTTATTTAAATTATTATTTTTTTTTTGAGATGGAGTCTCACTCTGTCACCCAGGCTGGAGTGCAGTAGCACAATCTCGGCTCGCAACCTCTGCCTCCGAGGTTCAAGCGATTCTCCTGCCTCAGCCTCCCAAGTAGCTGGGATTATAGGTGCCCACCACCACGCCTGGCTAATTTTTGTATTTTTAGTAGAGACAGCGTTCTACTGTGTTGGCCAGGCTGGTTTTGAACTCCTGACCTCAAGTGATCCACCCACCTTGGCCTCCCAAAGTACTGGGATTACAGGCATGAGCCACTGTGCCCAGCCCACAAGTGCTAATTTAAAATGGCTGCAAGTTATTCTGGTTCTAACAGAGCTGCTGTAATTCATTTAGCCAATTCCTTAGTAGTAGTTTTTAATTTTTTGAGATTTAAAAGTTTTATTCATATGTGGTTGTATATATTTCTCATTATTTTCTTAGGTTAAATTTCTAGGCATAAAATTCCTAGATTCAAGGATATGTACATGGTATAATCTTCGCCTTCTGGAAAATTTGGTTAACTTCTTTCAAACTTCCATATTACATGAAGTCTAACTTTCAGCTCTTTTCTTAATTTAGCCTAAGTATTGCACTATTTTTAGTACTTTCCTTAAGTCTTTACACACATCCAATTTTGGTAACTACCAGCCTTATGATCTGATATCTTCCTCTTCCCTCTTGACTCACTCTTGACAACTAAGGTATTCGAAATGATAAGCATCAAAAATAGCAAAACCTATTTCCAAGCACGACCTACCCTAACTTTTAAATTAATTTGCCTGTTGGTTTATTACCTTATGTTTATTTCACTTATGAATTCTAGACGCCATTACCTATACAAAGAAGCCAGCAGCCTCCATGTGACCATCTCCTGTTGAAGAAGCCAGAGCATACTGGCTGTTTTTGAAAATTTTTGAAGTCCAGGTGTTGCTCGACTCACTATTTTACTCAGTATATTCACCTGAATAAAAAACACAGATGTAAAGAGGTTAATTTTCTACAATTTTGAGTCACTGATAAGTTTGTATTTGAATAGAGTGCTAAAATAATTGTATTTAATAAGTATATATTATAAAATTGCCTTCTCTATTTTGTCTTTTTAAATTAAATGTAATGTAATGTTCCCACTAGAAATGGATCTAATTTGGAACAAGGTGTGTTTATCTGAGTATATATATAAGTCTAACATACTCTTGATTTCAGATCCAACAGTGGCAGTGATGGATATATTTTTTTCTCCCTGTATATCTACCCAGAGGATAAGTTAAATCAAACCTATACCTGGAAAAATCATAACATAAGCCAACATTTTAGCAATTAAAATTTAAAAAGTTATCTTAAAATTGTGTTTGAAAATTTATATCAGGTAACTAATCAAGAAAGATATTTTCCTAAGATTGGCACCAAAAACATTATCATTTCTAAACAAAACATCACCAAAGTCCTTCCTCATTCCAAAATAGTGGTCTTAAACCTTTTCAGAGGCTGGGCGTGGTGACTCACGCTTGTAATCCCAGCACTTTGGGAGGCCGAGACAGGTGGATTGCTTGAGGTCAGGAGTTTGAGACCAGCCTGGCCAACATGGTGAAACCCCATCTCTACTAAAAATATAAAAAATTAGCCAGGCATGGTGGTGTGTGCCTATAATCCCAGCTACTCAGGAGGCTAAGGCAGGAGAATCACTTGAACCCAGGAGGCAGAGGTTGCAGTGAGCAGGGATCCTGCCACTGTACTCCAGCTGGGGCGACAGAGTGAGACTCTGGGGAGAAAAAAACAAAAACAAAAACAAAAACACCTTTTCAGGACTGAGGCACATGTAAAAATCTAATAAAAGGCATGAATGGTCCCCCTAGAAACATACACACAATTGTTTATCAGGAGGTTTAACGACCCAGGGTAAAGAAAATCTTTCTCAAAGGTTACTAACAGTACCTCATTATCTTGTCAAGATGAATTAAGGAAGAAGACTGCTCTCATTCAGAACACCACAATGGGTTTTCCCACCCCTTAATAAGTATTCACAAAGTAATGTTACTACTGTCTTAAGACTAGTACTTCATAAAAGTGTTATCTGTACTTCATTCATTACATTCTCAGCTGGAATCCTGACTCCAGTGATTCACTAAGTGTTATTTAATGAAGCTACTGCATTTATAATAGAACAATTCAGAGGTCAATTATTGAAACATTAAATGATAAAAAGTTGTCTATTACTATTATTTCAATTATTACTGAATGCAGTATTTTCTTGAAGTCTTTTCCTCTTTCTAAAAATAGACTTCTTTAGTGTAGTTTTATTTTATTTTATTTTGAGACGGAGGAGTCTCACTCTGTTGCCTAGGATGGAGTGCAGTGGCAGAATCTCAGCTCGCTGCAACCTCTGCCTCCCGGGTTCAAGCGATTCTCCCACCTCAGCCTCCCGAGTAGCTGGGATTACAGGTGCCCACCACCACACTCCACTAATTTTTTTGCATTTTTAGTACAGATGAGGTTTCACCATATTGGCCAGGCTGGTGTTGAACTCCTGACCTAAGGTAATCTACCTGTCTTGGCCTCCCAAAGTGCTGAGATTACAGGTATGAGCCACTGTGCCTGGCCTAGCTTTAAATTCCCAGCAAAATGGGGCAGAAAGCAGAGTACCCAAATATCTCTTCCCCCACACAATCCCAGCCTCCCTCACCATCAATATCTAACACTAGAATGGTATATCTGTTACAACTGAGGAACTTATATTGACACATCATTATCCCCCAAAGTCCATAGTTTACATTAGGATTCATTCTTGGTGGTGTACATTCCATGAATTATGATAAATGTATACTGACATGTGTCCCCCATTATAGCATAAAGAGTGGTTTCACTGCCTTAAAAATCCTGTGTTCTACCTATTCATTGCTCCCTCGCAACTAACTCCTGGCAACTGATGATCTTGTCACTGTTTCCAAGTTTTGCCTTTTCCAGAATGTCATATAGTTGTAATCATATAATATGTAGCCTTTTCAAATTGGCTTCTTTCACTTAGCAATATGCATTTAAGGTTCCTCCATGTTTTTTCATGGCTTGATAGCCAGTTTCTTTTCAGCATTGAATAATGTTTCACTGCTCAGATGTACCAGTTTATTCATTCGCCCACTGAAGGATATCTTGGTTGCTTTCAAGTTGTTACGAATAAAACTGTAATAAACGTCTGTGTAGGTTTTTGTGTATACAGTTTTCAACTCACCTGGGTAAATATCAAGGAATGAGTTTGCTGGATCATATGACAATAGTATGTTTAGTTTTGTATGAAACTGCAGACTGTCTTCCAAAGTAGCTATAGTTGTTTGCATTTCCACCAGCAATGAATGATAGTTCCTGTTGCTCCACATCCTCTCCAGCATTTGGTGGTGTCTTTTGGATCTTCATCATTCTATTTCTTTTTTTGTTTGTTTTTGCAGAGATGGGGTTTTGCTATGCTGCCCAGGCTGGTCTTGAACTCCTGGCCTCAAGTGATCCTCCTGCCTCAGCCTCCCAAAGTGTTGGGATTACTGGCAGGAGCCACAGCACTGGCCTGGATCTTCATCATTCTAATAGGTATGTTGTAGTATCTCATTATTTTAATTTGCAATTCTCTAATGACATACAATGTGAAACATCTTTTCTTTCTTTTTTTTTTTTTTGAGATGGAGTCTCACTCTATCGCCCGGGCTGGAGTGCAGTGGCTCAATCTTGGTTCACTGCAACTTCCGCCTCCCAGGTTCAAGCGATTCTCCTGCCTCAGGCTCCTAAGTAGCTGGGATTACAGGTGCCCACCACCACACCTGGCTAATTTTGTATTTTAGTAGAGACAGGGTTTCACAATGTTGGCCAGGCTGGTCTCGAACTCCTGACCTGCAGTGATCCACCCACCTCGGCCTCCCAAAGTGCTAGGATTACAGGCATGAGTCACCACGTCTGGCCAAAGCATTTTTTATATGCTTATTTGCCATCTGTATATCTTCTTTGGTGAGGTGCCTGTTCCCATCTTTTGTTCATTTTTTAACTAGATTGTTCATTTTCTTATTGTTGAGTTTTATTTTGTTTAAGTTCCAGGATAAATGTGCAGGATGTGCAGGTTTGTTACACAGGTAAAGGTGTGCCATGGTGGTTTGCTGTATCTGTCAATCCATCAACTAGGTATTAAACCCAGCATACATTAGCCATTCTTCCTGATGCTCTCCCTCCCCCCACCCTCATTTCTTATTGTTGAGTTCTAAATATTCCTCGTATATTTTAGATTTTCCTTCAGACAGGGTCTACTCTGTCACCCTGGCTGGAGTGCAGTGGTGTGACCATGGCTCACTGTAGCCTCAAACTCTGCGGCTCATGCAATCCTCCCACCTGAGCCTCCCAAGGAGCTAGAATCACAGGTACATAGCACCATGCTTGGCAAATGTATTTCTTGTAGAGACAAGGCCTTCCCATGTTGCCCAGGCTGGTCTTGAACTGCTGGGTTTAAGTGATCCTTCTGCTTTGGCCTCCCAAAGCATTGGGATTACAGGTGTGAGCCATTGCATCTGGCTGGATTTTCCTTTTTTAAAGCAGCAGAATCCTTTTTTCTCCCAAAGAAATCTTGTATGGGCCCTCAATATGTAAGACGCAGGGATGCTCTAGTTGACTTTCCCTCCACTCCTGCCACTGTTCCCCTAAGACACCTCCCTTAAACACTATGAAAATTAGGTTAATGCTGTTTATGAAAACTAAAAATACTGAAGTTTGACTAACGACGGAGTGAAATTAGCTTACCTGACTACCACAGATGTTTTCATACTCTTCCACAAGATCAAAAACTGTACTCGAAGAGTGCTTCAGAAAAGACTGCAGGAAATCAGAAAACATACTCATGGATGCTAGAACACATCAAAAAAAAAAAAAGGAATAAAGAAAAGTTAAGTGACGTACTTCTAGGTAATTCCGTTTGTTTGAAAATGTATTTATTTGTTTATTTATTTTTTGAGATGGAGTTTCACTCTTGTTGTCCAGGGTGGAGTGCAATGGCACGGTCTCAGCTCACTGCAACCTCCACCTCCCAGGTTCAAGTGATCCTCCTGCCTCACCCTCCCAACTAGCTGGGATTACAGGCATGTACCACCATGCCCAGCTAATTTTTGTATTTTTAGTAGAGATGGGGTTTCACCATATTGGCCAGGCTGGTCTCAAACTCCTGACCTCAGGTGATCTGCTCGCCTCAGCCTCCCAAAGTGCTGGCATTACAGGCGTGAGCCACCGCACCCAGCCTGTTTGAAAATTTAAATGGCTACAAGTCTTTTATAAATTCACTGCTATATTAAAAAAAAAAAAATTGAGACAGAGTCTCACTCTGTCACCCAGGCTGGAGTGCAGTGGCGCAATCTCAGCTCACTGCAACCTCCACCTCCCAGGTTCAAGCGGTGCTCCTGCCTCAGCCTCTCAAGTAGCTGGGACTACAGGTGCGTGCCACCATGCCCAGCCAACTTGTTGTATTTTTAGTAGAGACGAGGTTTCACTGTGTTAGCCAGGATGGTCTTGATTTCCTGACCTCATGATCCGCCCACCTTGGCCTCCCAAAGTGTTGGGATTATAAGCGTGAGCCACCGCACCCAGCCTCAAAATTTTTTTTAATTGGCAAGATACACATAATATAAAATTTATCTTAATCATTTTTCTTTTTTTTTTTTTTAAGAGAGGGGGATCTTGCTCTGTCACCTAGGCTGGAGTACAGTGGTGCAATCATGGCTCACTATAGCCTCAAACTCCTAGGTTCAAGTGATCCTCCCACCTCAGCCTCCCCAGTAGCTGGGACTATAGGTATATACCAGCCACCATGCCCAGCTAATTTTTTATTAGTCTGTAGAGACAGGGTCTTGCTAACTCCTGTCTCAGCATCCCAAAGTGGTAGGATTAAAGGCATGAGCCACTATCCCTGGCTTAATCATTTTTAAGTGTATAGTTCAGTGTCAGTAAGTACATTCACATTGTTGTGCTACCATCACCACTATGTATCCACAGAACTATTTCATCTTGTAATACTGAAACTCTGTACTTAATAAACATTAACTCCCCACTCTCCACTTACCCCAGCCCCTGACAACTATCCATCTACTTTCTGTCCCTACATGTGTTGACTATTCTAAATATCTCATGTAAGTGGAACCATAGAGTATTGCCCTTTTGTGACTGGTTTATTTCACTTAGCATAATGTTCTCAAGGTTCATCCATGTTGTAGCATGTGTCAGAATGTCCTTCATATTTGGCTGAATAATATTCCACTGTATGTATAGATCACATTTTGTTTCCCCCATTCATCTATCAACAGGTACTTGGCTTGCTTCTACCTTTTGGCTACTATGAATCATGCTATGAACATGCATGTACAAATATTTCTTTGAGACTCTGCTTTCCAATCTTTTGGATATATACCCAGAGGCAGGTTTGCTGGATCATATGGTAATTCTATTTTTAATTTTTTGAGGAACTGCCATACTGTTTTCCATAGCAGCTGTACTATTTTACATTCCAACCAATAGTGCACAAGGATTTGAATTTCTCCACATTGTTGTCAATACTTGTTATTTTCTGGGTTTTTGTTCTTGTTGTTGGTTTGTTTGTTTTTCAGTAGCCACACTAACGGGTGTAAGGCAGTATCTTGTAACTCACTGTAGTTCTGATTTGGATTTTCCTAATGATTAGTGACATTTGAGTATATTTTCATGTGCTTACTGGTCATTTGTGAATCTTCTTTAGAACAGTGTCTATTCTATTTCTTTCTTTCTCTCTTTCTTTTTTGAGATGAAGTTTCGCTCTTGTTGCCCAGGATGGAGGTGCAATGGCATGATCTCAGCTCACCGCAACCTCTGCCTCCCGGGCTCAAGCGAGTCTCCTGCCTCAGTCTCCCGAGTAGCTGCGATTACAGGCATTCGCCACCATGCCCAGCTAATTTTGTATTTTTAGTAGGGAGAGGGTTTCTCCACATTGGTCAGGCTGGTCTCGAACTCCCAACCTCAGGTGATCCACCCGCGTCAGCCTCCCAAATTGCTGGGATTACAGGCATCAGCCACTGCGTCCAGCCTCTGTCTATTCTATTTCTTTGCTCATTTTTAAATTGGGTTGTTTTTTTGTTGTTGAGTTGTAGCAGTTTTTATACATTTTGGATATTAACCCCTAAGCAGATATATGATTTGCAAATATTTTCTCTCATTCTGTGGGTTGCCTTTTCACTTTGCTGATTGTATTCTTTCGTGCACAAAAGTTTAAAATTTTGATGTAGCCCAATTTATCTATTTTTTCTTTTGATACCTAAAGGTCTTTTAAGATCTCAAAGATATACTAGTTATTTTATAAACAATTACTTAAGAAATTGAGCCAGATTTAAAAATATCTGAATTATATTTTAAGCACACCATTACAAAGTAGTGGAGAAAGTTATAATACATACTAAATGGCATGTTCCACTCTGGGAAAATACAGGCACTTGGCCTAAGTAGAAAGTATTTTGAGTCACTTAATACGAGTACCTGTTTTTGACAGATACTACAAGAAAGTAGTAGTTACCAAAGTGTTAAGAGCAGGGCTCTGGAGCTAAACTGCTTAGTTTCAAATCCTGGTACCACTACTTCCTAGCCAGGTGGTTTGAGGTAAGTTACTTAACCACTTTGAGCAGTAGTTTCCTTTTCTCTAAAATGGGAATAATTATTGTAACTATTTAATGGACCACCATAAGGATTACATGAGTTAATGCTTGTACAGTGGTCATAACACTATCTGAAAAAAAATAACAGCATTACGGTCCAGGAGAAAACAAAACACATCAACAATGTTAGATTAAGAACTAAACCTAAAGAAAGAGATGCTCTTTCAACAGCACAAATAAGAAAAAAATTACAATATGAGACTTGTCTAATAACGTAACAGGCTGCTATTTACATTAAAAGATAAAATGGCAAGATGCTGCTCAGACTGAGAACCAAGGTGAGGTTCTCAACCTTCTAGTGATACTGTATCAAATACCATTGCCATAACCACAACTAATTAGCTTAAGGAAAAATATATTATAGACAGAAGACCAGATGAAGACACAGGAGGAAGACAGCCATCTGTAAGCCAAGAGAAGAGGCTTCAGAGAAAACCAACCCTGCCAAGACCTTTAACTCAGACATCTAGGCTCCAGAATTGTGAGAAAATAAATTTATGTTGTTGCCTATAATCCCAGCACTTTGAGAGGCTGAGGCGGTAGGATCACTTGTGTCCAGGAGTTTGAGACCAGCCTGGGCTGGTCTTTGTAGACCCTGTCTCTATAAAGAAATAAAAAATTAGGCTGGGCACAGTGGCTTACGCCTGTAATCTCAGGACTTTGGGAGGCTGAGGAGGACGGATCACTTGAGGTCAGGAGTTCGAGATCAGCCTGGCCAAAATGGTGAAACCTCTCTCTACTAAAAATACAAAAATTAGCCAGGCGTGGTGGTGGGCACCTGTAATCTCAGCTACTCAGGAGACTGAGGCAGGAGAATCACTTGAATACAGCAGGTAGAGGTTGCAGTGAGCCGAGATTGCACCACTGCACTCCAGTCTGGGCAACAGAGTGAGACTCCGTCTAAAAAAAAAAATAAATAAATAAATAAATAAATAAAAAATTAGCTGGCGGCCAGGCGCAGTGGCTCACACCTGTAATCCCAGCACTTTGGGAGGCCAAGGCGGGTGGATCACCCATGGTCAGGAGTTTGAGACAAGCCTGGCCAACATGGCAAAACCCCGTTTCTACTAAAAATACAAAAATTAGCCGGGTGTGGTAGCAGACGCCTATAATCCCAGCTACTCTGGAGACTGAGGCAGGAGAATCATTTAAACCTGGGAGGCGGAGGTTGCAGTGAACCAAGATCCCATCACTCCACTCCAGTCTGGGTGACAGAGCGAGACTCCATCTCAAAAAAAAAAAAAAAAAATTAGCTAGGCATGGTGGTACATGCCTGCAGTCCCAACTATTCAGGAGGCTGAGGCTGCAGAATTGCTTAAGCCTGGGAGGTTAAGGCTGCAGTGAGCCATGATTGTGCCACTGCATTTCTGCATTTAGCCTGGGTGACAGAGTGACTGTTTTTTTTTTTGTTTTTTTTTTTTAGACGGAGTCTTGCTCTGTAGCCCAGGCTGGAGTGCAATGGTGCGATCTCAGCTCACTGCAAACTCTGCCTCCCGGGTTCAAGCGATTCTCCTGCCTCAGCCTCTCAAGTAGCTGGGATTACAGGTGTGCACCACCATACCCAACTAATTTTTGTATTTTTAGTAGAGACGAGGTTTCACCATGTTGGCCAGGCTGGTCTTGAACTCCTGACCTCGTGATCTGCCCGCCTCGGCCTCTCAAAGTGCTAGGATTATAGGCATGAGCCACCGCGCCCGGCAACAGAGTGAGACTCTTGTCTCAAAAAACACACACACAAAAATCTGTTGTTTAAGCTACTCTCTCAAGAAAAAAAGACAGAAAGAAAGAAAAGAAAAACATAATGACGTTCAGAAACAGGAAGAAATGGTTTCCTTCATCTTGCTAAAGTGAAAAGCTACTTGTCACAAAGCTCAATGCCATTTTACCAGCTTCTCCAGGATCATCCTCACGTAACATAACAGCACTGATAGTTACATCTTCTGTTATACTGTGGGGCTCTGTGTTTGTGAACAGCCCGGAACGCTGTGATGAAAATGCAGCTGCCCAGTTACTGTCATCCAGATTAGTAACCTTAAAAAAAAACAAAAAAGTAAAAATACAGAAAAGTGATGGAGTTATTGTCACTGAGTGGATACTTTAAAAACAAATAAGGTTTCTAAAAATTATATGTATGTATGCGTCTTTTTTTTTTTTTTTCCCTTCTTGAGATAAGGTCTGGATCTGTTGCCCAGGCTGGAGTTCAGTGGCACGATCATGGCTCAACGCAACCTTTGCCTCTCAGGCTCAAGCCATCTTCCCACTTCAGCCTCCCAAGTAGCTGGGACTACAGGCACGTGCCACCACGCCTGGCTAATTTTTGTATTTTTGGTAGGTATGGGGTTTCACCATGTTGGCCAGGCTGGTCTCAAATTCCTGGCCTCATGTGATCCACCTGCCTCAGCCTCCCAAAATGCTGGGATTACAGATGTGAGCCACCATGCCCGGCTACTATAGTGTATTTTTAATACTTAGGTGAAGTCATTCTGCATCACAGCTTACATAACATTTCTTTTGCTATTTTTAATACTGTTCCATAGTGATTCCTAAAGAGTATCTCACCTACTTTTTCCAATTTTCTCTTTTATCCCCTTTAATACATTTTATCTCTTCCTTAAGATATTCTTCATCTGTTAACCTCTGATTCCTACTCTTGTATGCTTCAAAACAGGGATCAGATTTTATAGCCATCAGCAACCAACCACAGCATGTACTTCTTCTGGTCAGCAAACTGACAGATTAAAACATCTTATTTTCATCTAAAGGTTGCTGGTGTCACAGTTTCCATCTGTGATATCAGATGCATAAGGTTTTCAGTTTTTTTACTGTCTAATTATTTCAATCCATATAACCTAAAGTTACTGTTATGATGATTCTGACTCAATATTTGTTAAAAGACTTTTACATCAAATATCATATTTTTATAAAAAGGGAGAAGTTCTTTTTTCTCTTTTTTTTTTCTTTTGCAATCACAGGTCACTGCAACCTCTGCCTCCTGGGTTCAAGCAATTCTCACACCTCAGCCTCCCGAGCAGCTAGGATTACAGGCATAAGCCACCACTCCCAGCTAATTTTTTTATTGTTAGTAGAGACAGGGTTTTATCATGCTAAGCAGGCTAGTCTCAAACTCCTGACTTCTGGGAGGCCAAGGCGGGAGAATCACTTGAGGTCAGGAGTTCAGGGAGTGCTGAGATTACAGATGTGAGCCACCACACTCGACCCAAAAGGAGTTCTTAGCCCTATTTTTCTACATACCATGGAGAGATTTCCAAAGAACCCTGAAGACTGCGTAAGTCGGGGCGACTTCCCTCCTGTTCCAAGAATGCAGGAAATATCTGGCTGCCTTAGTAAGCTTCGGCTTGTTGGGGTAACTATAAACAAAAGGTTGGTAGAAAGAACCTAAAGTGCGTGAGCATTCATTATCAAAACAAAGTAAGCAAACAAACAATGAAGAATAAATTTTTCAGTTTTCCATTATTTAGACTCTAACCAAATAAATACTTTAAATGTTAACATTTCCATGATACAAGGATTTAACTTATTTTTCTAAATTTGAGCTGTAGGTACTACTGAGCCTAACAGGAAACATTTTACTGCAATTACAGATGCTTTCATTATAGAATAACTGAGCAGTTAAAGACACTAATCAGTCAACGGATTCTTCATATTTTAATTTTATAAGGCATACTGAGGCAGTGCAGTGTAGTGGGCATAAACTTTGGAGTAAACAGATCATTGTTTGAATCCCAGTTCCATTATTTACATACTCTTTTTTTTCTGTCTCAGAACAAAAAAAGAGTATGTAAATAATGGAACTGGGATTTTTTTTTTTTTTGCTCTGTCGCCCCAGCTGGAGTACAGTGGCACAATCTCAGCTCACTGCAACCTCTGCCTTCCGGGTTCAAGCAATTCTCCTGCCTCACCCTCCGGAGTAGCTGGGATTACAGGCATGTGCCACCACGCCAGCTAATTTTTGTATTTTTAGTAGAGATAGGGTTTTGCCATGTTGGCCAAGCTAGTCTTGAACTCCTGGCCTTAAGTGATCCACCCACCTTGGCCTCCCAAAGTGTTGAGATTATAGGCATGGGCCACTGCATCCAGCCTATTTACATACTTATTGTATATATTAGTTAACTTCTCTAAGTCTCACTTTCAGTTTTGGTAAAACAGGGCCAACAATACCCATGTCATAGTTACCGTGTGTTTATGGAAAGTACAGTACCTTGTACATGGCAAGAGTTCAAACGAATAATAACTGCAATCATTATTATTAGTGCTTATTGATATCGTAACCAAATACTATACTAATTATGTTACAATAAATGTTAGTTGCTATTATAATTACCGTTATTATTAAATGCTTTAAAAGCAAAAAATCTTACAAGGCTGTCGAAATGAGCTAGGAGTTCGAGGGATAACCTGGTTTCTTGGTGTAGTATTACCAAAATTTTCATCTTGAGATGCCTGAACTGTACAACGAGTTAAGAAAAGTTTTCCATGTAGAAAAGAGATCACTAAAATGAGAATTAACCATCTTTTTACTATACAAATTATGTGAATACATTTTTCAAGAACAAGTATTTTAGGGCTACCATTTTTCAATGCAAAGGGTAAATAATTCATTGCTTCTGCCATTTAAATGATCAGATGTCAGTCTTAGATAACTACACACTGAACTAAATGTTTTTAGTCAGTTTTCAAATAATAAAAAGAAATCTAATCTCAGCAGAAGCTGTCAGCAGTAAGAAATATCTTTATTTTTAGGGAAATACGATCTCATTAAATTTTTGCATTATATTTACCAAATGACAGCTCTGTGGAGTGAAAAAAAGTTTCTACAGGATTTTATTATAGCTACCATTTAATACTCTTATAAAAAGAAAATTCTACAACACTGATTCCAAACATGTTACAATTTTTATAATGATGCTTAAATCGCAAAGGATACGTAAAACTCTTTTCTGAGCACTCTGTTTCCGTGCAGTCCGTGTCACCTCTGCCTCCCGGATTACAGGGGATGATATCTCTCCAAAGCCACTCCTAAAGTAGTATAATCAAGCTTATATAAGTGAAACGAGAATATAGCATTTATAAAGAATTTTATCATCACAGTTGGAGTAAAGGACCCTGAGTAAGTTAAGGTATAGTCATTCTAGTAGCCAAGTCTTAGATCTTTTGTTGAGAACGCACTCCTGGCTCCAAATCCTGCTTATTCTTCAAAGCCTTACTCAAATCTTACCTGCACAAAGACTTCTCTGACTTTCTAGTACTCACTATGTTATTTTCTCCTAAGGAATTATTTCAACACTTGGAATCTATATTATAACACTGTTTTAGATAATTGCTTCATGAAAGTGAATCTTATTTCCCTTGTTGGATTGAGGAGTTACCTAACTGCAGGAATTCTCTCTTAAAAGATTTTCTGCAGTCTCCAAAATGCTTTAAACCATGGGTACTATTAAAAAACAAACAAACAACAACAACAACAAACAGAGCTTGCAACAACAACAACAAACAGAGCTTGTGAGATAGAAGGGTAAGTAAAAGAATTGTGGTAAATTGGAGCAAAATGACCCTTCAAGTTATTTCAACCCAGGAGGTCTCCTGTCCCATCACAACACTCCCTGTCAGTTTCACTCAAAGGTCTAGAAACTAAATTGTGCGGACTAAAAGGCCTGTGTTTAAGACAAGAATCTAATATGCTTTTCCTCCACTTAAAACCTTCAGATATTCCTTCAGCAGGAAAGTATGGGAAACAACCACATAGAAACAATTTTAAACGTTTAACAATTAAAATTAAAAACAAAAAAAAAAACCTTCAGATAGCTCTCTGGTCTATAGAAGTAAAAATTTCCTAAAATGATATTTACAATGTGACCCCAGTTTAGGGGTTCAGTCTTCTATTCAGCCACAAACATCACTTTAAACGTATACTGCATGTGACCACTGAGCTACACGTACTTTTTTTTCATATCCTAGCACCTCTGAATATGCTTCTTTTACAAAGACCTACATTTGCCCCCTTGAGCACCTGGTCAACAACTACTTACTCCTCAAAGAGCCTCAGGTAGGCTGGAGACACACAGATGCAGGTTGGCAATTTGGTTCTTGTATTTATTAGCTTCCGAACTTTCAGCAAGTTCCTTAACCTCTTTTAGTCTCAGTGTTATATATGAAAAAAGGATAACAGTACCCATCTCATAGGATTTTTCTTGTTCTGAAGATTAAATAAGCTAATAATATATATTCAACGCCTTTAGAACAATGGCAGTCACATAGTAGGTACTCAATGTTTGGAGTACGAATAATGTACTCTTATTATTCAAAGACCAGCTAGAAAGTTACCTTCTTTGAGGGGTCTTCCTGATAGTTACAGTGACAAGGAGACTTAATCGCCCCCAAACACTTACCACTTTACACTGCTTGGTTGTCTCCATTACACAACTAATTCCCCGAGGGGAAGGATCTTGAATAACTGATCTTTGTTGTAGGCGGCTAGCACAGTACCCAGATCATAGAGGGAACTCAGAATCTGATGCTGGCACTTGTAATCAGAAAGTCTGGGCTGAGATCCCAGTATCTTCACTGACTGGCTTTGTGATCTCAGGCTGGTCACTTAGCATTTCGAACGCCGCGCTACCTACCCCGCCCACCCCAGGAGCGAACAGTGTTGCTGCCCCAAAGCGCCGAATAGATCGCAGAACGTAGTGGGAAAGTAAGGGACTATTATGATCTGTACCCCACCCCGACGCACGCCAAGCGGCTTTTTCCCCATTTGTGGCCAAATTTCCCGGCATGGGGAAGGAGCCTTAGGGGAAGCACCCGGGACCTCCTTGGCTTCTTCTGGGAGTCTAGTTTCACCTATTTCGTTTCGCCAACAGGCGAGACGGGCAAGACTTCGGGCTCAGCTGCCACCATCAGTACTGACCTGTCCATGGCTAAAGCCTTTTCCACACACAACCAAAGTTGGCTGCAGTTTAGCTACCGCGTTTTAGCCTTCCCGCTCTCCGGAAGCAAGCCCTTCGACCCGGAAGCAGTCTGTCCCTAAAACAGACCCACAGAAAAGGGGTAGGGGAGAAGAAACAACGTTCCCATCTAGCGCATGCGCGACTTCAGCCTACAGGTGCACGCCCGGTGGGCGCAGGCGCAAAAGTTTGCCAATGTGTTCCTGGTTGCGTTTAGCCCAGACGCCCTGCGGCCGCTTTGCCTGACCAAAGTCTGTGGGCGTGGAACAGGCCCTGGGTTCTCCTACTGGGAAGAATGAAGTATGTTGATAGTCTGGAAAAATGTGAAGTCATTTCCTGGTATTCTCTGTCAGAAAGCGCCTGTTCTTGGAATTCAGATGCGTGGGCTCTGCCCCACACCTCGGGGATCTCTATCTCTCTGCCTACACTCAGTCCTTTGTTCTGTAGCCCCCTGCAGTTTTTGCAACTATTTTCCATAACTGCTATTTGTTCTTTACTTGGTGTTCTTTCCTATTAAGGAGAAAAAGTTCACCTGTATTAAAAAGTAGAAAGGCAAGCGTGAAATATGATGGTATTGCCCTCTATTTCAAAGTGCCGTCTAGGCAAAAAGTGGTGTATTTTGGTCTTGAAGGAGTCAGTCACATTTTTGTTTTGGTTTTTGTTTTTTCCAGTTTGAAAGTAGTGACTGGCTATTAACTGACCAGATTACAAAAATAATGTTAGATGCTTCAGTTTATCCGTTTAATAAGCCTGTTGATATAGTCTTTTCTGTTGCTGGCATTTATACCTTTTATTAATACAAAATAGGTAGTCCTTCATTCTCCCTCGTGGAGAAGATAATTTGAAGGATCACAGGAACTTGAGTTTTTCAACAGCATAGATCTCATGAATCAGATTCTCCAGTCAGATGATGCCATATTTATCAGGAAATCTAGCAATCAAAGCGTTATCTGTTAAGGTAATTTGTTTATTGATTTTGCCATAACCAATTTGTAGATCAGTTCATTTACTGATTTCAGGTTCAGGTACTCCATGTGATATATGGTTCCACAATCCTCAGCGTGTTAACTGAAGCCTTGTTGAGTTTAACAAAGCTGCCATTGAAGATCTGGGGAAAGTGAAGAAGTTGCAACAGAGTTTTGGGCTCACACCATTGATACATTTGATCCTTAAGGCAAGTGACAATTTGGGTTTCACAGGTATATAGAAATTGCCAGCTTTTCTTGCCATATATTTCTTGTGACAGTGCTGAGCTTTTTTTTTTTACTTCTTGCTTGCTTTTTTTTGGACTTGATTTTTTAAATTATGTTTCCTTCCTTCCTTCTTTCTTTGTTTTTTTTTTTTTTGAGACAGGATCTTGTCCTATTGTCCCGGCTTACGTGCAGTGGCACAGTCACGGCTCACTGCAGCCTTGACCTCCTGGGCTCCAGCAATCCTCCTACCTCAGCCTCCCTAGTACCTGAGGTTGCTGGGACCACAGGCACGCACCACCATGCCTGACCTCCTCTCCTCCCCCGTTTTTTAAAAATATTTTGGAGAAATGGGGTCTTATGTTGTTGCCCAGGCTGGTCTCAAACTCTTGGGCTCAAGCCATCCTCTTACCTGGGTCTCCCAAAGTGCTGGGATTACAGGGGTTAGCCACCACATCTGACAGTGCCTAGCTTTTTCATAGATGTAGCTTTCTCCTTGCTTTTCTTTTTCTTTTTTTTCGAGATGGAGTCTCATTCCATTGCCCAGGCTGGAGTGCAGTGGTGCCATCTCGGCTCACTGCAACCTCTGCCTCCTGGGTTCAAGCGATTCTCCTGCCTCAGCCTCCTGAGTAGCTGGGATTACAGGTGTCTGCCACCACACCCGGCTAATTTTTGCGTTTTTGGTAGAGATGGGGTTTCACCATGTTGTCCAGGCTGGTCTTGAACTCCTGACCTCAGGTGATTCACCTGCCTCAGCCTCCCAAAGTGCTGGGATTACAGGCGTGAGCCACTGCGCCTGGCCTTCTCCTTTCTTTTCAAAGCATTTTATGGGCAAACTTCTTTCTCAGGCACTTGACCTTTAGCTCTGTGAAATTCCTTCATGTGTTTTATTTTTATTTTTTGAGACAGAGTCTTGCCCTTTTGCCCAGGCTGGAGTGCAGTGATGCAATCTTGGCTCACTGAAACCTCTGCCTCCCCGGTTCAAGCGATTCTTGTACATCAGCCTCCCAAGTAGCTGGGATTACAGGCGTGCACCACCATGCCCAGCTAATTTTTGTATTTTTAGTAGAGGCGGGGTTTCACCATGCTGGCCAGGCTGGTCTCGAACTCCTGACCTCATGATCCACCCGCCTCGGCCTCCCAAAGTGCTGGGATTACAGGCATGAACCACAGTGCCCAGCCTTCCCTCACATTTTTAAAGGGTTTCTGGCACAGCAGGAATCTTCTTTTTCTTGTCTTCAATACCCTCCATGGTTTCAGCTGGGAAAGAGGAAATCAGTGGAAGTTTTGCCTTAGGCATTTATGTTCTGCTGTAATTCTGGGAAGCATAGTTCCCCGGAAGGCCTCTTCATACCTTATTATCCCCTCTCAGACAACATGGCATTTTGATAAAAACATTGCTTTGGGCTCCATCTAGGTTCAACCCCCCTGCACCTGCAGATTCCTCATCTGTAGAGTGGAGAAAACAATACCTTTGTCAGGGGGTGTTGTGAGGATTAAACAAGATGTCATAGGGAGTCCCTGTCTCTAACATAAGTTTTAAAAATTAGCCACGTGTGGTGACACGTGCCTGTGGTCCCAGCTACTTGGGAGGCTGAGGCAGGAGGATCACTTGATCCTGGCAGGCCGAGGCTGCAATGAGCTATGATCATGCCACTGCACTCCAGCCTGGATGAAAAAGTGAGACTTTGTCTCAAAAAAACAAAACAGACAAACAAAAAAAACAGAGACATCAACTGTATACACTGTACATAGCAGGTCATTGAAATGTTACTTTTCTCCTTTAATAACCTTTCTGAAGAATAATGCCCTGGCATGGTCTCATTCTCCCACCTCCTAATTTTCCTGTATACAAGTTCACTTTTTCTTATGGAAAGTGAAATGTAGTCCTAATCAGAGCTGGGGCAAGTTTATTCAAAGTATGATCTGTGGTTCATGTTCTTGCTCTGTGTCCCTCAGCAGTTGAATTCCAATGAGTTTTATTCGTGTAGTATACTTGAAGTGTACTTGAGGTGATTGACCATGAAGCACACAATAAAAATTAGCCCTGTGTTTGGGGCAAAAAAATTAGCCCTGTGTTCAGTTCATATGCAAAGATGGAAAACTTTTTGGAAAGTGCACTGGGTTTCACTTTTGACACATTTAATTAGTAGGCATGAACACCATAGCAACCCTGCCAAAATTTCAAAACATATTCATTTCATTACCTTAAAAGGATGTGGAATAAATTTCTTATGTGGTGTATATTGTATACATGGTAGCTTTATGTTTAGTATTCTTGGTTGCAATGACAGAAATTGACTATGGTTAACTTAAACAAAAGGGAATTTACTGGAAGCACATCAGGAGATCTTGGAATTGTTAAGAAACTGGAGAAAAGGTCTGGGATAGCACAGCTCCTCAGGAGCTGAAGGCCAGGAAGCGTCTTTCCCAAAGACACTCAAACTCCAACTGTTTGCTCCAGAGCATCCTTCACCTCCCTTATCCCCAACAGCTGAGGCATCAAATATCATTATTTGTACCCCCACCACCCCACCCCAAGTTTTTTTTTTTTTTTTTTTTTGGAAACAGGCTCTTTGGGCCAGGTGCAGTGGCTCACGCCTGTAATCCCAGCACTTTGGGAGGCCGAGGTGGGCGACTCACGAGGTCAGCAGTTCGAGATCATCCTGGCCAACATGGTGAAACCCCATCTCTACTAAAAATATAAACATTAGCCAGGCATGGTGATGGACCCCTGTAATCCCAGTTACTCTGGAGGCTGAGGCAAGAGAATCACTTGAACCCAGGAGGCGGAGGTTGCAGTGAGCCGAGACTGCACCATTGCACTCCAGCCTGGGCGAGAGAGCAACACTCCGTCTCAAAAAAAAAAAAGGGAAAAGAAAAAAGAAACAGGCTCTTTGGATCACTCAGGCTGGAGTTCAGTGGCGCAATCTTGGGTCACTATAGCCTCAGTCTTCTGGGCTCAAGCAATCTTCCCACCTCAGCTTCCTGAGTACCTGGGACTACAGACTCGCACTACCACACCTAGCTAATTGCTAATTTTTTTAATTTATGTTTTTGTAGAAATGGAGTCTCACTATGTTGTTCAGGCTCATCTGGGACTTCTGGGCTCAAGTGATCCTCCTGCTTCGACCTCCCAAAGTCCTAGGATGATAAGCCACCTTGCTCACCCCCTCCCTACTTTTTATTTTGAAAATTTTCAAACCTACAGAAAAGCTTATATAAGAATAGTACAGTAAGGCCGGCTGCAGTGGCTCACACCTGTAATCCCAGCAGTTTGGAAGGCCAAGGTGGGCGGATCACCTGAGGTCAGGAGTTTGAGACCAGCCTGGCCAACATGGTGAAACCCCGCCTCTACTAAAAATACAAAAGAAAGTTAGCCAGGCATGGTGGTGAGTGCCTGTAATCCCAGCTACTTGGGAGGCTGAAGCAGGAAAATCACTTGAACCTGGGAGGCAGAGGTTGCAGTGAGCCAAGATCACGCCACTGCACTCCAGCCTGGGCAACAGAGCGAGACTTGGTCTAAAAAAAAAAAAAAAATAGTACAGTAGACCTCAACATACAATATTTCACCACAATTGCTGTCTTTTTGTTTTTTGGTTTTGGCTGAACCATGTGAAAGTTAGCTGTAGTTATGATACTTCACCCCTAAATTTTTCAGCATGTATCTTCTGTTAAATAAAATTGATGTGGGGAGCATTGCTTTGGACTGAGCTCATGCCAAATCCATGTAATCAAACTGTACTTTAAAACAGTGTCTGTAGTCTCAGCTACTCTGAAGGTTGAGATAGGAGGATTGCTTGAGCCCATCCAGCCTGGGCAACACAGTTAAGACACCGTCAGAGGTCGGGCGCGGTGGCTCACACCTGTAATCCCAGCACTTTGGGAGGCCGAGGCAGGCAAATCATGAAGTCAGGAGTTCGAGACCAGCCTGGCCAACATGGTGAAACCGCATCTCTACTAAAGATACAAAAAATTAGCCGTGCGTGGTGGCATGCACCTGTAATTCCAGCTACTTGGGAGGCTGAGGCAGGAGAATTGCTTGAACCTGGGAGGCGGAGGTTGCAGTAGGCTGAGATTGCACCATTGCACTCCAGCCTGGTCGACAGGGCAAGACTCCGTCTCAAAAAAAAAAAAAAAGAAAAGAAAAAGAAACACACACACACACACACACACACACACACACATAAGAATGGGCCAGTTTTCCAAAAAACAGGAGATTCACGGCAACTAATCAGAAGAGGCTCAGTCTACCTGAGCCACTAAGGTCTGTTTTGACCTCATGTGTGAAAGTAGCTTTGAAATGATCAACCTGTTTTTTCTTCCTTATTTCAGCTTTCTTCAGCCCATTTCTTTTCTTTTTTTTGAGACAGTCTCGCTCTATCACCCAGGCTGGAGTACAGTGGTGCGATCTTGGCTCACTGCAACCTCTGCCTCCTGGGTTCAAGCGATTCCCCTGCCTCAGCCTCCCGAGTAGCTGGGCTACAGGCACATGCCACCACACTCAGCTAATTTTTTATTTTTAGCAGAGACAGGGTTTCACCATGTTGGCCAGGCTGGTCTCAAACTCCTGACCTCATGATCCGCCCAGCTTGGCCTCCCGAAGTGCTGGGATTACAGGCATGAGCCACCATGCCCTGCCTCTTCAGCTCTTTTATGTCTATAAAGCACACCTCCTCTGCTCAGCTCTGTCTATTTTGTAGATGGGATGCTGCTTGATTCATGAATCTCTAGTAAAAGCCAATTAAATCTTTAAAATTTGATTTGTTGAAGCTTTTTTTATTTGACACTCCTAAAACAAGGACAAGACATTCTCCTACCTAGTCACAGCAAATCAAACACTCAGAACAATTAATAGTGACAGAATGCCACAACTAATGTATGCAAATTTCCCCCATTGTCCCAATAATGTCCTTTATAACTGCCCCTCTCCAGTATAGGATCGAATATTGGATTATGCATTTGTCATGTCTTTTTATTCTACTTTAACTTAGAATAGTACCCCAGACTTTTTTTTTCTTTTAGTCATTTGGATTTCTGATTGTTTCCTCATTATAACTTTTTTTTTTTTTTGAGACAAGGTCTTGCTTTGTCACCGAGGCTGAAGTGCAGTGGTGTGAACATGGCTCACTGCAGCTCAAGCGATCCTCTTGCTTCAGCCCCCTGAAGTAGCTGGGACTACAGGTGTGCACTACCATGCCTGGCTAATTTTTTTGTTTGTTTGTTTTTAAGTTAGGGTTTTGCCATGTCACCCAGGCAGGTCTTGAACTCCTGAGCTCAAGCGATCCACCTGTCTGCCTTGGCCTCCCAAAGTGCTGGGATTACAGGCGTGAGCCACTGCGCCCAGCCAATAAACACTTTAAAATACATTGAGGGGAAAGCAGAGTGCAGGAATACTACATAGATGTTACTAAGTATTTCTTAATCACATTGGATGGTATATGAGGTCTCTTTGTCTCAGTTTCAAAATCTGCTGAACTGTCCTTTCCCCAGACCCCCTCCAAAAGAAAGCATCCTTTCACCTGATGCCCCTTTCTAGCTGCTGTTTTTTCTCTCATTCCCTTCTCAACCAAACATCTGTTTTGCTAAATTGTAAATAGCCAGTAGTGGTTTTCTTACTATAAATCCAGTATAAGTATCTCTTACAAAAAGATAATAGACATAAACAAAAGGAAAAAATTAAAGAATCCTATGATTCCATTAACTATAGCTGACTACAATTCCACGAAATACCCTCATCAAGAATTACCCAGCTAAGTCCAGTTAACCCACAGAACAAAGAGAGTGAATAATATATTGATTTATGCCACTACATTTTGTGGTAGCTTTTTATGTAGCAACAGAAAACTGTAACAAATGGAATTATATTGTAAAACTGTTCTACAATCTGCTTATTCACTTAACATGAACATCTTTTCATTTCAAAATTATTTGTCTACATCATTCATAATTTACCAAAAGAATTTGAAAGAGTCATATTTCCTTTTTGTCTCCATTTACATTTACAAGGTGACCTAATGCTGTCTGACTTCAACCTTCACTGGTAAATGAAAACTAACTAAGGTGACCAATGATCTCTGCCAGGAAAAGTTTATTTTTCATTTCTCAACATCTCCAGAATATTTGACACCATTCACCACTCTCTTCCTTAGTACCCCCATGCCATTTGGTGTCATGATTTTGTTAGTGGGCTTCTCCTAGTCCACTCCGCCTTCTCTTGGCTAGTCTTCTCTATGAGCTCTATAAATCTGCCTTTACCTTAAACATCAATTAATCTTTTCCAGAGTTCAGACCCAAGCCCTGTCTTCCTCAGTTCTGCATTATTTTCAGGCTTCAAACTACTGACAGTTTCCTAATAGATTTCCAATCTATATTCTAGCCCATATCTCAATTTTATATTCCAGACTCATGCGTCTGGTGGCTTACTAGACACATTCACTTTGAAGATATAAGGTACCTGAAACTTAACATGTTCTAACTCTAAACATGAACTCAATAGACCTGCCCCTCCCTCACTCCTCACCAAAACAACAATACAACAACAACCCTGCTTCTCCTTGTATATTTTTTTTTTTTAGTCTTGGCAAGTGGCCATATCCAGTTAGCCAAAAATCTGGAATTTAATCTCAGTAGGACTAAAGTTCCACGAGGGCAGAGATATTTATCTTTGTTTGGTGCTGTATCTCTCTGTTTGTCAATTGAATTATTCTTCTCTCATCCCCTGCATCTACTTTGTCACCAAATCTCAAATATGTCTTCCCATTTCCATTGCTACCTTCTTCATTTCCAGTCCCAACTCATCATCTCTTCACTGTTCTAAGGTAGGTCCTCCAACCGAATTCCATTCTTTATACTGCTAAGAGGATGATCTTCTAAATATGCAAATCTGACTGTCACCTTTCAGTTTCTTCCCAGTCTCAATTTTAACTTTAAACTACTACACTCAGCCTTCAGGACGTGATTTACCTGTTATTATCTCTGCCTCAAATTCTGTATTCCAGCTATATTCAACTACAGCTCCCCAAACATTCTACAGTCATTTGGCATATTTTCTCTGCTCCTACTAAGTAGAAGCAGAAGAGGAATAAAGCAAGACCATGTCATAGACTGCTATGCAGTCATTAAAAGGGAGTTTAGAGAGCATTTGTAATAACTTGGAAATGTTTATGTTTTACTTTAAATGAGGGAAGCAGACTGCCATATTATATATATCAGTATGCTCAGAAACAATGTAAAATGTATAAAACAATACTGAACAAAAATTATACCAAAGTTCATAGTGCTCATCTTAGGTGAGACTTTGGCTATGCCTTGTTTTGTTTTGTTTTTTGAGAAAGGGTCTCGTTTTGTTGTCCATGCTGGAGTGTAGTGGCACAATCATGACTCACTGCAGCATTGACCTCCTGGGCTCAAGTGATCCTCCCACTTCAGTCCCCCAAATAGCTAGGACTACAGGTGTACACCACAATGCCTGGCTAATTAAAAAAAACAAAAAACCAAAAGCCTTTGTGTGTGTGTGTGTGTGTGTGTGTAGACAGAGTCTCACTATGTTGCCAAGGCTGGCTGGTCTCCTGGCTCAAGTGATCCTCCTGCCTCGGCCTCCCAAAGTGCTGGGATTGCAGGAGTGAGCCCCTGCACCCGGCCCACTATGCCTTGCTTTATTTAAAGCAATATATTTTCATAGCAAGATCCAATTGAAATTCAAATAAATATTTTAATAAGTTCATTAAGAATTCCAGTGAGTCAGATGTGTGTCTAGTGATTTAAGTTATAGCAGGTGCTTAAATACTTTTGCCATGTTCAAAAGATAGTGGAAAATCTTGAATACAGTTGTAGGATACACAGAAGCTTATATAAAACAAAATTAAGTATTTAGACTATTAACAGCTTGTTCAGATATAAGATGGTGTGATTTTTTTCATTTTAATATTTGGGGAATTTTCCTCTTTGAGCTCAAAACATTGCAAACATGCTATTATAACTTAGTAATATTCTTTTTATCTAAAGTAATAGAATTGGCTGGGCCTAGTGGCTCACACCTGTAATCCCAGCACTTTGGGAGGCCGAGGTGGGAAGATCACTTGAGCTCAGAAGTTTGAGACCAGCCTGGCCATCATGGTGAATCCCTATCTCTACTGAAAATATAAAAAATTAGGCGGGTGTGGTGGTGCATGCCTATAATCCCAGCTACTCAGGAGACTGAGGCAGGAGAATCGCTTGAACCTTGGAGGCGGAGGTTGCAGTGAACCGAGATCGCGCCACTGCACTCCAGCCTCGGCGACAGAGCGAGACCCTGTCTCAAAAACAAACAAAAACAAAACAAACAAACTCTCTCTCTCTCTATATATATATATATATATTCTTACTTAAAATCTATTACTAGTAAAACTTACATTTTGCAAATTGATATTAGCGCATGGTCGGCAATGTTTTAGTCTTTTTTTTTCCTCCCTGGATGTTGACCAGCTCTTTTAATTTACTTTAAAAAAATTGTGGTAATGTGTACATAAAATTTACCATTTTAACCATCTTTTAAGTTTGTAGTTCATTGACATTAAATACATTCACATTGTTGTGCAGGGCAATGTTTTATCTTTTAAAAAAAAACAAACTTGAAGGTCTTGTGCCTGAACAATCCCCTCCCCTCCCCTCCCCCTCCCCTGTTCTTTTTCTGAGATGGAATTTGCTCTTGTTGCCCAGGCTGGAGTGCAATGGTGCAATCTCAGCTCACTGCAACCTCCGCCTCCCAGGTTCAAGCGATTATCCTACCACAGTCTCCCAAGTAGCTGGGATTACAGGCATGCGCCACCATGCCTGGCTGATTTTGTATTTTTAGTAGAGACGGGGTTTCTCCATGTTGGTCAGGCTGGTCTTGAACTCCTGACCACAGGTGATCCTCCCACCTCGACCTCCCAAAGTGCTGGGATTATAGGCATAAGCCACCATGCCTGGCTGGGTTTCTTTCTTTTGCCTTCTTTTCTTTTCTTTTTTCTTTCTTCAATGTTTTATTCTTTTTTTAAAAAAAACAAACCAAACTTGAGGGCCTTGTGCCTGAACAATGCTCTTTTCTTTTCTTTTTCCTTGCTTCCTTCCTTCCTTCCTGTCTTTCCCTTCCAACCTTCCTTCCTTCCTTCCTTCCCTCCTTCCTTCCCTCTTTCCTTCTCCCCTTCTCTCCTTTCCCCTCCCCTGCCCTCCCCTCCCCTCCCCTTCCTCAGGATCTCACTGTGTCACTCAGGCTGGAGTGCAGTGTCGCAAACATGGCTCACTGTAGCCTCGACTCCTCCTGGGCTCAAACGATCCTCCCACCTCAACCTCCCAAGTAGCTGGGACTACAGGTGCACACCACTATGCCCAGCTAATTTTTGTATTTTTTTGTAGACACTGGGTTTCACTTTGTTGCCCAGGCTGGTCTCGAAATCCTGAGCTCGTCTCAAATTCCTGAGCTCAAGCAAGCTGCCTGCCTTAGCCTCCCAAAGTGCTGGGATTACAGGCATGAATGAGTCACCGTGCCCCGCCCAATGTTTTATTCTTTCTTTTTTTTTTTTTTTTTGAGACGGAGTTTTGCTCTTGTTGCTCAGGCTGGAGTGCAGTGGCGCGATCTCGGCTCACTGCAACCTCTGTCTCTCAGGTTGAAGCAATTCTCCTGCCTCAGCCTCCTAAGTACCTGGGATTACAGGCATGCGCCACCACACCCGGCTAGTTTTTTTTTTTTTTTTTTTTTTAGTAGAGATGGGGTTTCGCCATGTTGGCCAGGTTGGTCTTGAACTCCTGACTTCAGGTAATCCACCCGCCTCGGCCTCCCAAAGTGCTGGGATTACAAGCATGAGCCACCGCACCCAGCGCCAATGTTTTATTCTTAAATAAATGTATTTGCTTTAAAAATTTTATATATATATATAAATATATATAATATATATATATATGGTAACTGATTATCCGTTCAAATTTTTAATTATTTGTTACATTGTTTTCAAAAAGTTATTTATTCAGATAATGATGTCTGTTTGCTTTCTCTGTATTTTCAGGCCCACCCCGCCTCACTCCCACCCTCTTCTACTTAATTCAGGATGTGAATAGCACATGCCTTCCATCTTCAGACAAACACTGAGGCCTGGACAATGACCTGCATTAGGTAGATAGAATCTACTGAAAGCTAAAAGCCTTTTCCTGTGTCTTAGCAGCACGGAAGCCACGCCTCCTTCCCCCCAATGTTTGTGCAAACCCTAGAGAAGAGGAGACAGCCCCTATGATGTGTGAGGTTGAATTTCCTGCCCTCAACCCATCAAATCAGGCAGAATGAGGGCTCAGTCAGAACTACAACTACAAAAGAGAAAAATTTTAATGTGACTTTTCTTGTCTGCTCAGATTTTTGGGTTAAGGTTCATGCCAGCTACATTCTTTGCATAATAAAATATAAATAGAGTATAAATTGTTCTAGTTAGAGAAAACAGCAAAACAGTGCTCTCCCAAGGGCCCTAATAAATCACTTTACAGAAACGTGGATGTGTGTTGGATTTACAGGATTTCTATGCCAAGCAGAGAAGTACGTGAAAACAGGAAAGCAAAATGCATAAGTTGCAATAATAGTTTTGTGGTTTAGCTGAATAATGTCCTATATCAACAGAGGATAATGATTTTAGTTTTTCAGTTGCCCCAAGATCATTTCCATTACTGATGAGGCTTGAAATGTCTGTGAAGAAGAGTCATTGCAATTGATTTATTTGTCTGGCAAACTTTTTGTCAGCAAATTCACCACTACCTCAAAAATCTCACTAGCTACTCTATGCTTAAGACATTGGAAGCATAAGCCACAATGAAAACTAACTCTTAGCATTAGAATTCTAAGAAGCAGTAATGTATTTATGATTTTATGTTAAAAATCTCCCAGATGTCAGCATTTAAATCACAATTCAGTAATATAAGTAATTTGAAATTAGAAAGTTTTATACTTCACCATTCTATTTTCCTCTTCAAATTGAACACAGTTTGAAAGAATTAAGAAAAGAAGCTATAAAAAATAAATTGTTCAAGGATTCTTCCTGTTTCTAAACACCACAAGATTATGATGATAGAGACATCATTTGAAGTGGTAGAGAGTACTGTGAAATATCTATATGTGAATGTAATGAAAATGAAAAAATAATCTGATGAATTTTTAAAATTAATCTTGTTAGAGTCATTTTTGAGAAATTGTATGCAAGTGTATTGATTGAAAATGACCTTCTCATTCAAGAAAAATTTATTGAGCACTTACCAAGTGTCAACAGGTGAATGTGAATAAAATAGATATGGTCCCTGCCTTCTTGGAGTTGAATAAAATAGCAAACACTTATTGAATATTTATTATATGTTGTGCATTATAATATTAACCAATGTTTATTGAGTTGTTATTATATGCCAACTATGCCAATCCTGTCCTAAGCAATTTATGTATGTTAACTAATTTAATCCTCACAATAAATCTATGAGGTAGGTACTATTATTTCTGTCATAAAATTACAAAGGCATAGAGAGATAATTTGTCTAAGGTTCCATAGAGTAAGTAGGGGACCCAGAATTCAATTCAAGGAGTCTTTTTGTTCTGCATGACATCTCAACTGCTATATAAATATTATTTAGTTCCCAGGGCAAATTTTTCAGGATAATATTCTTATTCTCTCAATTTTACAGAAGAGAAAACTGCAGTGTAAAGAGGTGAAATAACTCACCAAAAGTTAACTGACAATGATCCTACCCACTACATCACACTGCTTAACTGGGAAGACACGCAATTTAACAAGTACCAACCAGGCTCCACATTTAAACTCTGACCCCGTTTGACCTTAAAGTAATGCATTTTTCTTCAAAGCAGACACTTCGCCACCCCAAAAAAAACCATATCTGAAAAGACATAATGTACTTAATCAATGGCTTCCTGCTATAATCACCACAACCACATCCTTTCCTAGAATCGTATCTGTCTTATTGAATCCTTCCATTAGCTTTTCTCCTATACATGAAGTTCAAATAGCACACCTGAGTTTTTGAGGGCATACACAACTTACACATTCCAGGCTCAAATATTTTTTTCCTCCCCTGACTCATGAACTTTTTGAAATTTAACAGTTTCTTCTATCTTTTATGCTACCTGGTCTATCTGAACCAAACATATATATTTTGCAGTTTCCTCCTAAAATACATTCAAAGCACTGTTTTGCTTCGCATTGCTGATATTTAACTCCTTTGCAATATCACTGCTACTTATACACAAACAAAAATCTGGTGTTTTTTAAGAGGAAGCCAAACTAAATAAATCATTTTAAAGATATATATATGGTTGGGTGTGGTGGCTCATGCCTGTAATACCAGCACTTTGGGAGGCTGAGGCGGGTGGATCTCCTGAGGTCAGAAGTTCGAAACAAACCTGGCCATCATGGTGAAACCCCGTGTCTACTAAAAAATACAAAAATTAGCCAGGCATGGCGGTGTGTGCCTGTAATCCCAGCTACTTGGGAGTCTGACGCAGGAAAATCACTTGAACCCGGGAGATGGAGGTTGCAGTGAGCCAAGATTGCACCATTGCACTCCAGCCTGGGAAACGAGAGCGAAACTCCATCTCAAATATATATATATAGGTTGAGCGCAGTGCTCACGCCTGTAATCCCAGCATTTTGGGAGACTAAGGTGGCGGATCATGAGGTCAGCAGTTCGAGACCAGCCTGGCCAACATGGTAAATTCCCGTCTCTACTAAAAATATAAAATTAGCCGGCATGGTGGCACGTGCCTGTAATCCCAGCTCCTCAGGAGGCTGAGGTAGGAGAATCGCTTGAACCTGGGAGGCGGAGGTTGCAGTGAGCTGAGATGGCGCCATTGCACTCCAGCCTGGGTGACAGAGCGAGACTCTATCTCAAAAAAAAAGAAAAATTATATATATATATATATATATATATATATATATATCTTTGTCTATAAGTGAATATCTTCTAATTAGAGGATCTATGATAATGTATCTTTAAGAAGATGCGTCATGCATCTATGATCCTATGAATCTGCTCTTTAAAAACAACAGAATATTCAAGGTGTCTTTAATTTTTTTTTTGAGACAGAGTCTTGCTCTATTGCCCAGGCTGGAGTACAGTGGCGTGATCATGGCTCACTGCAGCTTTGATCTCCTGGGCTCAGCCTCCTGGGTGGCTGGAACCACAGGCATGTGCCCCCGCATCCAGCTAATTTTTAAATTTTTTGTAGAGCTAGAGTCTCCCTATGTTGCCCAGGCTGGTCTTGAACTCCTGGGCTCAAGTGATCCTCTTGCCTCAGCCTCCCAAAGCACTGGGATTATAGGCATGAGCCACCACACCTAGCCAAGGTGTTATTTTAACAATGGAAAATGTAGTATATTTAGTTCATAAATCAAGAGCACAAACGGACTTAAAATATTTCAAGTATATTTTGAGCTACAAACATATTGGCATATAAGAGCAAACTATGCGGCTTTTATAAATGGAAGTGCATTGAAAAGCATAAAATGATGGAATACATATTGACAATGCAATATAATGTTAAGAAAAAGTTGCGTCTATCATGAACATTGCCCTTGAAACTTGTTTAGAAGCTGAA